>NC_000006.12:49756969-50060000 GCF_000001405.40 Homo sapiens
CGGGACCTGCATGGAGAATAGTCCGGTCACCTTTCCATGAGGTAAGTGCTCTGTACTGAGGGTCCAGACAAGACCCTGGTCTTCACAGACTCTCCAGAGCCTGGAGATAGCACTGGTGAGGGCTATGAGACAGCAAAGACGTCAACCCACCCCTCCCACTGGGAGCTCTGTCCCGTGGAATTGCAGAGCTGATACTGACTTGATAGCCCCAGTGGGGAGTGGGTGAAGACCCAGGCTGTGTGGACCCATCCAGTGAGGAGATATGGGATCAGGGACCCATGTAAAAAACAGTCTGGCTACTTTTCCACAGGGCTGCTGTAGTATGCAGGGGATCCAGTCCAGTCCCTAATCACCTTGAATTTTCCAGTACTTGAAGGTATCAACAGTGAAGGCTGCGAAACAGCAAAGATGGAAGCCTGCCCTCCCTCTGGGAGCTCCATCCCAGGAAGGTTTGGAACTGCTGCCAGCTGGAAAACACTGGCAGGGGTGGTTGTAGACCTCAGTTGAGAGATTCTGACGAGTGAAGAGAAATAGGATCCGGGACCCACATGGAAAAACAGTCTGGTTACCTCTCTGTGTAGCTGCTGCACTTTACCAGGGTAACTGCTCCAGTCCTTAGTTGTCTTGGATTCCTCAGAGCTCAGAGGTATTAATAGTTAAGGCTGTGAAAGAGCATAGATGGTGGCCCAAGACACCCCTTGGGAGCTTGGTCGCAGGGAGGTATAATACTGCTACCCATAGCTGAGTGAAGTTCTAAGATGTGGGTCTTATCCAGTGAGGTGCCATGGAAGCAAGGTCTGCAGACTGTGGCTGCTCAGGCCCCTGTATTCAGCCCCTTTCCTAGAGGTATGTATGGAGGTCTAACCTCCCATTTTGCCAGAGCTGCAGCCACTTTTATTGGGAAGCTCACTTGGGGCTCCATGTGTGTCTGAGCAGCTGCTCTTCTAATACTCTGTGTAGCTCTGTGTGTCTAACTGAAGGCCCTGGTGGAATAGGTTCATGAAGGGGTCTCCTGACTCAAGAGTTGCAAAGATCCATGGGAGAAACATCAGTACCTGGGAGTGTTCACTCACTTACCACTTCCTTGGGCTGGGGAGACTCCCCTGGCTCCACATTGCTCCTGGGTGGGAGATATCCTGCCATTCTTTTCTCCATTCTTTGTGGGTTGAATTGTTTTTCTGATGAACCCTAATGAGTGTACCTGGATGTTTCCACTGAAGGTGCTGTATTTACTCACCCCTCTATTTCTCTCCATGGGAGTGGCACACACTACCTGCTTCTAGTCTGCTGTCTGTTAAAGACTAACTTGCTGTAGCTTGTTTAGTATAGGGTCATATGTGACACTATCATTTCATAAATTTTCATAATTAGGGTTGTGTTTTTGCTCACCACTTTAGATCAAAGTTTTAAAATCTAAGCACCGAACCATTGCTGGAAATAATAAGGTCTTGCGAATGAAGCATCTGAAGGACAATCCAAAACTGAAGTCCTGATTTCTGACAAATAAGAATCAATTTTCTCTTTTTTTCTGTAAACTTTGACATATGTGACAGGACTGTGTCTATAATCTGAGTATGGATATAAGCATCACTAGAATTAATAGTTCAACAAATAGATATACAGAAATTAATAGCATCCACTGTATTATCTTCAGATATCTAGGACAATTGTGTGTGTGTGTGTGTGTGTGCAATTGGCAGAGATTATATCTTTATTGTTGCTGAAAAACTAGAAAGAAGGAAGATATATTTTGCTATTTGAGGAGGAAGTTTGAGAATCCTGTGGGCAGTGGCATAATTTATCCTGTGAGTGGCATAATTTCTATTGATGACATATTTTGCTCTTGGGAAATAAACAGAGCAGTGCTTACACATGAATACAACATTAAAAAATCAGAAATTAATGGTGAATGATTTGCAAGTAATCTTTTTGGTGGTGTTTTCTTAACTTTGGCAATATTTTTCTATGAAGAGGACTGTAAATGGATAGCCACCTTGTACAGGTATTGTGTTATTGCTACTCTCTTTAAGGCCAGGTTTAAAATTATGAATGTAGTCTTTGATTAATGTTACCTAATAAGAAGTGCTCAGTATCATTGACCACAAAAAAAGCATTGTATCTTCCAAATGATGACAACTCTCACTTCAGTGATGAGAATTAAATAATGTTTGCTTTCTGTTCTAATTCTTCTTTGCTTCCTTATTTAACATTTTAAGAAAAAGACATTTATCATAAAAATAAATTACCATTTTCAACTTTTGTATTTGTTGCATACATTTAACTTCTGTCTAGTTGATTTATATAAATTGAAATTGTTGTAATTATCAGTAGTATCTTTTATGTATCCAATGAGAGTTATACCTGTAAATTAAAATACTTGATAAAAAGCACTTGGGTATATGTCATCTGTCATTTCACACATCCTAATTGCTCATGACTAGTTCCTAAAAAATTCAAATGTCAAATTAAAGGAGTCATTATTATACTGAAAATGTTGAGAGCCTTTTGAGCAATGACATACTGTTGCATTTTTTTAAACCAATCAGATTACAAGTCTTTAAATATTAGTGGTGGCATTGTAAATGGGAATAGATAATTTGTTTTAGACAGTCAACCTTGGTGAAATAAGCTTATGTTTCTTTATTGAGAGCAATTGTAAAAAGCCAAATTGTTTCCTAAGATGAAAGATAAACACCTCTCAGGCAAGACTATATTTTCTTTATAGCTCATTTAATTGCTTTAAATTTTTTATCTCCACAATTTCTTTCTGATCCCTAAGCCACAAATTATACTCTGCCTCTTGGTTGCTCAGGTGTATTTCATTTACTTTACCTTTCTAATGTTTTCATCTTAAAATTTTATTGGGATCAATATGAAGACGATTGATGCTGAAAAAGAACTTTGGTTACATCTTCACGTACGAATACACAAATATAAATGTTATCAGAACATTTGTTTCTCCGAATAGTATCATTTTCTTTTATTAATAGTTATGTTCAAAACATGTCATCAAAGTAGGCCTCAGTAGAAATGTAGTGATGTAATTATTGCTATTAATTTGCTTACTCGAAGGCACATAATTTCTCCAGCTCTAGCTAGGAAACTTCTCCTGATATCTATCTCATAAACAAAGACTAGAAACCAGGTAAGTTATTTCTCTGTTTTCTGTGTGTTTTAAAGAAACACAAATTAGGTATTTTGCTACGCACCTTCAGTCTGGGCTGAGGTCAGTAGCGACGGCTTTTCTCTGATCTATATGGGTTTCCCTTGGCAGCTTGACTAGGGCTGGAGGATCTACTTCTAACATGGTGCACCACATGGCTGACTGGCTAATGGCAGCCTATGTCATAAGACCTGGGCCTGGAAATCAGAGCAGCATCACTTCTATCATATTCTATTGGTCAAGCAGTCACAGACCCCAGATTCAAGGAAAGAAGACATAGACCTCGCCTCTCAATTGGTAGAGTGTCAAAGAATTCTGAGGTTGTATTTTAAAACCTTC
Source organism: Homo sapiens (assembly GCF_000001405.40). Lineage (NCBI taxonomy): Eukaryota > Metazoa > Chordata > Mammalia > Primates > Hominidae > Homo > Homo sapiens. The sequence goes on from NC_000006.12 coordinate 49,760,472, forward strand.
AAATTACCTTCAAAAGGTTTATTATTTATTTATTTATTTATTTTACCAACTTGCTTCCTGCCTCTGGTGTAAGTGGCCCATACAATTCGCTCCTCTCTGGCTTCTTTCCAGAAACTCTAGAAACATTCTCACTTTATAATATAGAGCATTTCACCTCCCTCCAGCATTGTATTGAAACGCTTTGGGCTAACTTAGCCACTCCAGATCCCAAAAACTGGGCCAATGCACAGACCAGAGAGAAGCTTGGAAGCATTTGGCTTTCCCTTCCCCTTCTGTCACAATGCCTGAGAAGGGAAGAGTAAAACAAAGTATTTTACTTCTGTCCAATGTGAACTATGTTATTTATCTAGAAGCAACTTTGGTCATTTTTGGTCATATAGACTTTTCACCTTATTTCCTTTGCACAAGTACATGGTTCCCTGTCTTCTGTGGACTCATTGTAGCTGGCCTCCTGCTCCTCCTCCCTGGGCTTTGCCTTCCCCTGGGCCTCAAGACTTGACTCTGTAAATCCTTTTCCTCAATCTCCTACTACCACATTCCCATGAGAGTTGAGAGTCATGAGACTGTAGAATTAAAAATAAGTTATTTACTTTCAGAATATAATGGTTGTACAGGCACTGGGTAAACATTCTTACTCTAAAAGGGAGAAATCAGCCAAAAGCAAGGATTTCTTGGAAGTTCAAAACTAAGCAGGGCAGACATTAAGTCTGAAAGCTCCAAAATAATCTCTTTTGACTTTATGTTCTTCATCCTGGGCACACAGGTGAGCTCCCAAAGTCTTGCTTAGTCCCATCTCATGGCTTTTCTGGCATGCAGCCCATGTGGCTGCCCCCACAAGTTGAAGTTGAATTCATGTGGCTTTTTCAGGCTGAAGTGGCATACTGTCAGTTTCTCCACCATTTTGGGGTCCAGACAGTGGCTCCACTTCTGCAGCCTCACTAGGCATTGCCCAGAAGGGAACACTTTGTGGTGGTTATGGTCCTATGTCAGATGCCTGCTTGAGTACCCAGGCTTTCCTATACATCCTCTGAAAACTTTGCTTCTTAGAAATTTCTTCTGCCAGATAGCCTAGGTCATTACTCTTAAGTTTAGCATTACACAAAGCCACAGGGCATGGACACCATGCAGCCAAGTTCTTTGCTATGATGTAATAAGGGTGACTTTTGCTCCACTTCCCAGGAAATTTCTCATTTCCATCTGAGACCTCCTTAGAATGGTCTTTACTGTTTAGGTTTCCGTCATCATTTTGTTCACAGTCACAACCAATTTTTAAGATGTTCCAAACTTTCTCTCTTTTTTTTTTTTTTCTGAGCCTTCTAACTCTTCCAACTTCTGCTCATTGCCCGGTTCCAAAGCTACTTCCACATTTTCAGCTATCTTTATAGCAACAGCTCACTTCTTGCTACCATTTCTCTTAGTTCATATTTTGTGATTATTACAAAATATCTGAGGCTGGGAAATTTATGAAGAATAAAAGGATTATTTGGCTCACAAAGGTGATGACTGGAAAGTTTAAGATTAGGCATCTGCACCTGGTGAGGGTTCTAGGCTGCTTTCACTCACGGCAGAAGGTGAAGGGGAGCTGGCATGTGTAGAGATTACACAGCAAGAGAACAAGGCGGTAGGAAGTGCTGGGCTCTTCTTAACAAACTCTCTCAGGAACCAATAGAATGGTAACTCACCTCCGAAGGAGTGATTTAATCTGTGGGTGAGGGATCCACTCTCATAACCCAAACATCTCCCATTAGGCCCCACTTACGATATTGAGGCTCAAATTTCAACATGAAGTTTGGTGGGAACAAACATCCAAACCATTGCATATGCCCAGCCTATCTAACAGGATAGTTTAGCCTGGCCTACGTTAAACATGCCCAGAACACTTACCTTAGCCTACAGTTGGGCAAAATCATCTAACACAAAGCCTATTTTATAATAAAATGTTGATTAACTCATGTAGTTTATTGAATACGGTACTGAGAGTGAAAAACAGATTGGTTGTTTACCCCAGTGATTGCCTGGCTGACCGCGAGCTGCGGCTCATCTCCACTGTCCAGCATCACAAGAGAGTATCCTACCACATATGGCTAGCCTGAGAAAATATCAAAACTCAAAATTTGAAGAATGTTTTCTATTGAATGTCTATCACTTTTTCACCATCCTAGAAAAACCCAGGTTGAATCATCATAAGTTGGGGATCATCTGCATAAGCCACATAGTATTTGCTGAGAACTTGGTATGTATAATTTATTCTGACTTCCGTGGAGAGAAGAGAGAGTATGCAGATCATTTGGATATATTAATGCACTGCTCCTAAAAGCAAATAAAAAACAGCAAGGTGCTCACCTTTTTTTTCTAAAGCATGTGGATTTTTGTCTTGTTTTATGTTGTTTTGTTTTGTTTTATCCTAAACCCACTGACTCAGAATCTCTGGAAGTGGAGTTTAGACTCTGGCATTTTCAGTAAGCTTCCCAAATGATTCTTATATTTGGGGAAATCTTTTGAAAGCCAAACACGTGTTGAACTACTTGAAACTTTTTTAAAGCTGGTTAGAATGACCATCTAATCTGTGGTACTTTAAAAGAGAAAGAAGACACTATTAAAAAATTATTGCAGAACAACCTGTGTGTATATATATATATATATATATATATATATATATATATATGCCAAGAACTTCCCAGAAAATCAAGAAATACTTTCATTTTAGTGAGAATGGAATACTAGGATACATGTCTTAAACATAAAATCCAGAACAGACTAAATGTTTTGGATGTATACTAGACTGTTAGCTCCAAATTATCCCTGTTCATTTCAAGTTAGAACTGCAACTTGTCCCTCCAAGATATTGCTAGTATGAGCTCATCTTTTACATTGGAAGCACCACAGTCCTAGATTGGGCCAGGCCCTCAGTTATTCTCCAGATTATACCCTTATCTTGTTCTTACTCTTTCCAGTTTTCGTCTTTCTTCCATTCTTTCTTCCTCCTGATACCAGAGCAATGATGCATAAATGATCATTCTATCATGTTTAAAATTGATTGTTCTCCCTTGATTTCAACTCTAACAAGGAACAGCAAAGTCAACAAAAATATACACTATATAATATTAATATGAATAATAAAATATATAATGATAAAAATAACAGAGTTCTTATTTAACCAATATATACCAGACACCATTTGGCAAATTACTGCTCTCCTTACCCCTTCAACTTCTCCTTGCCCTACTCTGGAACCAGCCTGACTTCTGCTTTCAGAACCCAAATGAACTGTCCCACAATCTAGCAACCACTAAGTCTCAAATTGGCCCAGAAGTGTCCTGCTGGACCCTGCTTCAGTGCTATGACTTGAAAATGTTTTGCTGGATCAGTGTCTATGTTGTACTCATTATGGTACATTTTTTAATATCCATTCTGAAAATATATAATCTGCTTTTCAGAGTATTACAAAATATGTCATAATTTGGCTCCTTCATATCTCATCTGTTCTATGCTTCAAATCCTCCTACTCTATGCTTCATTGCTGCAGAAAATGACATCTTCCCTTCCTATGTCTCCATGCTTTTGCACCTGCTTTCCAGATCACTCTTTTTTCCTAGTTTTCTTTCCCTTAAACTTTTACTTACTGCTTGTAACTCATCTTGATTAACATTTTTTTCATAATCGTCTTCCCTAGCTCCTCTAGGCATATTTGAATGCTTCTCCTATACTCACATTTTATTCTGTACATATTTCTAACTCAGTTTTTAAAATATGGCTATTTATTTGTATGTTCATCTTCCTTCTCAACAGTGGTATTCTTGACCTCTGCGTTCATGTGTTTTTGTGTGTATTTATCTCTAGTCCTTTGTACTTTTCCTGCATATATATTGACCAAATGAATAGATAATGCTAACTTGAAAGAACACATAGTTTTTAAAATGTTGGTTAAGATTAGTCAGATAGGGATTCACGAACGTGATACATTTTCAGCTGTACTTTGAAAGAAATAACGGACATGTTGGAATGGAGAGGAGGTTGATTTACACTGTCAACAACAGCGATATCAAAAAGAAAAACACAGAAAAATAAATTAATACAATGGTATTTGGAAAATGTAATTTGGGTTAGTAACTGAATGAGAGAGAAGAAAGAGAGTTATTCTTGCAGCATTTATTCTTTCATGCCAGTTTGAGGAATTCAGAGCTACACTATTGGAACAAGTAAATCCAAAGCTTTATTTCCACACAATGACCCTGGGTTTGTAACAATTGGAAAGTTTGTTCTTTCCTGGGCTTGGGTCCAACTCTACACAATATCACCGTCTGTGTCCCCAAAATGATTCAAATCCACGGTGAGCACTGCTATACTCCTGTGCATGTGCCTTCTTTGAGCTCATCTTGTTTTTCTCTCAAATGTTAACTAATGATTGCTTTGTCCTGCTCATTCATTGTCCCTTAAGCATGTAATGTAGTTGTTTGCCAAATGTTAATTCCCTTTAAATTAAGGCTCAAGGAATAAAGAAATCCATTTAGTGATTTATCTGGATGTTTCTCCAGTTGGCTCTGAGTTTTTGTTCTTTGATATGTGACCTTTTTATGTTTGTTTTAATACTTCACTGGTGTCCAAAGTTTATGGTTCAGTCCTTGTGGCTGTGAAGCTATTTCTTGTCCCTCATTGAAGAAAATACCTCATCTACCTTTAAAATGAAGCTTGTAGATTAGCTAACATTGTTTTTTACTACCTTTTAAAGGCTATTATTATTTCTAAGATACTCACAAAGTGAAAGCAATCTAACCATCAGGTTAAATAACTTCCACTGTGAGATTTTACTATTTCTTCCAAGTTACACAAAAATGAAAGTGACCCATGTCCATTTCAATGTCATCTTAAGCAAAAGGAAAAGTTTTTACAACCTGCCTTGGTTTACAAAACTAATTATATTAATAGATTTTTTGTATGTAGATAACAAGTACTGACCCTTTCATATGGTGTCTGATCAGGTTATTTACTCAAGTGGTATTGGCCTTGGAAAGTCTCTTTCTTTTCTTTTTTTTTTTTTTTATTATACTTTAAGTTTTAGGGTACATGTGCACATTGTGTAGGTTAGTTACATATGTATACATGTGCCATGCTGGTGCACTGCACCCACTAACTCGTCATCTAGCATTAGGTATATCTCCCAATGCTATCCCTCCCCCCTCCCCCCACCCCACCACAGTCCCCAGAGTGTGATATTCCCCTTCCTGTGTCCATGTGATCTCATTGTTCAACTCCCACCTATGAGTGAGAATATGCGGTGTTTGGTTTTTTGTTCTTGCGATAGTTTACTGAGAATGATGATTTCCAATTTCGTCCATGTCCCTACAAAGGACATGAACTCATCATTTTTTATGGCTGCATAGTATTCCATGGTGTATATGTGCCACATTTTCTTAATCCAGTCTATCATTGTTGGACATTTGGGTTGGTTCCAAGTCTTTGCTATTGTGAATAATGCCACAATAAACATACGTGTGCATGTGTCTTTATAGCAGCATGATTTATAGTCCTTTGGGTATATACCCAGTAATGGGATGGCTGGGTCAAATGGTATTTCTAGTTCTAGATCCCTGAGGAATCGCCACACTGACTTCCACAATGGTTGAACTAGTTTACAGTCCCACCAACAGTGTAAAAGTGTTCCTATTTCTCCACATCCTCTCCAGCACCTGTTGTTTCCTGACTTTTTAATGATTGCCATTCTAACTGGTGTGAGATGGTATCTCATAGTGGTTTTGATTTGCATTTCTCTGATGGCCAGTGATGGTGAGCATTTTTTCATGTGTTTTTTGGCTGCATAAATGTCTTCTTTTGAGAAGTGTCTGTTCATGACCTTTGCCCACTTTTTGATGGGGTTGTTTAAATGGTGCTGGGAAAACTGGCTAGCCATATGTAGGAAGCTGAAACTGGATCCCTTCCTTACACCTTATACAAAAATCAATTCAAGATGGATTAAAGATTTAAACGTTAGACCTAAAACCATAAAAACCCTAGAAGAAAACCTAGGCATTACCATTCAGGACATAGGCATGGGCAAGGAAAGTCTCTTTCTTATATGGGTTAAATAAAATTTTCTTCTGCCTGCTGGATAATTTTTTAGATTTAATTAGCATGTGCTGTTTTCCAGGTTTCAAAACATTTTTCTATCTTGGGTTGGGTCTCCAGATATTCTTGATCATTTAAATGCTTATTTCTTCTACTGCTTGAAAGGTACCTCCTGGCCTAGGGAAACTCATGAAAAGGGAATACTGTATTTATATGCGTGGTTCTCAAGATTTGTTATGAGACAGTTTTCAACAGAACCATTGTTGCTCTTCATTTTATTGTTTAATTTGTTTTTCAGACTTTCCCTCTACCAACTCCACGCTCCAGGAGGGTTGCTTTCTACAAATTGCACTTTGTGTTTCTCAAGCAAATCACACTCCTCCTCCCTATTGATGTTGCAACCACACTGGATTTCCTAACATTTCTCAGTAAAAGCTCATTCCCACTCCAGGGACTTTGTACTTTCTGGACTCTCTGCCTAGGTTGCTCTGTCCCTCACTCTCTCTCCTCGTAGCTTCATGGCTAGGTTCCTTATATCTAGTTATATCTAGTTTGGCTACCTCTAATTCCTTCAGATTTTAACTCAAATATTACTTCTACTTAGAAAAGCCTTTTCTGACTCCCTTAGATTGTGTTACACATATAGGCCATTAATACAAATTTACTGAATAAATGACTGGGTGGGTCTGATATTATACATGTCATATTTGAGGAAATGAAGAGATGCTGAAAGTACTGGAAGTGTATAGATGAAATGAGAAGCCGGAAATAGATCCTATTAACATTTTCCTAACACTTTACAGTTTACAAAGCACCTTTGCATATGTTATATCACTTGAATTTTTAATATCTGTTAGAGAAAACTCTTACTATCTCCATTCTACAGGCTTAGACAAGTGAAAAGACCTCAAGATCACATAGCTAATAAATAGAAGTTGGAATTATATTCTTATCTCCAAATTTAATATATTGTCCTCTATGGCATGCTGAAATCCCCTGACTTAAGTTTGAGGCTTACAAGAATAGATATTCCAGGCAAAATGTCAGAAACCTGAAGTGTATGATAATCATCAGAAGTTAATTACTTTCACGGACATTCAAATTTCTTCTTTGCTGTAGGAACAAAGGAAAAAGCTTATCCACAGTCCCATGTGTTATCTCTGGCTGAGCCTCTTCCTAATTATATTACCAATGGCTAACTGTCTGCTTTAATTTTCTCTGTTGTAAATGAGGATAATTATAGTATTAGGTTGGTGAAAATTAATTGTGGTTTTTGGCATTGAACGTAATGACAAAAAACACAATTACTTTCGCACCAACCTAACACAGATTTTTATAAAGGGATTGTGAGAATTAAATTAGTTTATTTAGTAAGACTTCACAAAATTGCCCATCACAGAATATTGCTTATACAGGAAAACTGCTATTATGGTTACTGTCATTGTTATTATTAGTATTATTTAATGTGCTTACTAAAGACCTTTTCTCCTCTCAAGAGAACAGAAAAAAAAAACCATAAAATTTGTGACTATTTTATCTGCAATTAACTTTTTAGGACTTCTACAGTTTATTGCATGGGAGGAGGAGTCTTCCTTTTAATCTTTAAACCTTTGGTTGAATGTGGCTTGAGCCTTGACACTTTTATTCTGAGGTTCCAGCTAGCCCTAAGCAGGAATTTCTGAGATGGATATGTCTCATTGATCTTGGATTTGATCTGCAGCTATAAGTTACAAAAGAGGGAGGTCTTACTGTGAAATACATCAGAATGTAAGTAGACTCATATTATTTCAATAATTGAAAGGACATTAAATATTATCTGTTTTTTAATCCATCCCTTAACATGGATGCCCGTTTTCAGTAACCATGGAGAGTTTAGAAATTTCCTGCTTTGAGATTATTTGACAGTGTATGTGTGTGTTTTAACTCTTCAAGACTTGTTTTATTGGGGGTATGTTTACTCTCTTCACAGTGTTCCAAAGTAGATCTTGCTCATAGATTTTATTTATATGCCAATCATGTTTTGGATATAGGGATCTCCTATCAGAAGATTAGAGTCCGCTGGCAGATGCTAACGTTGTACCTAGTCAAGAACAATTGGTAAATTTCCAGGATTTGGTTCCATTTGCAAGGGAGTTGCTAGGATTCTTGTTATGAAGAGAAGAGCAATGCTTAAGTTCTCCATAGAGACTCTATGCTCAGAAACTTCCTTCCTATTCTATGACCTTTGATAAGATTGCAGTAATAAGACGTAATGTCTCCCTATAATTAGTCTGATATAGTGGTTCTCAACCCTATCAGATCCAATGCTTTCTTCTTATCGTAAATTTTAAATACCACTCCCTGACAGACATTATTCTGGAAATAAATGCAGGGATAATAATATATCCTTGACTTCTAGAGTGTGCAAAGCCCTGAGAATATAGTTTTTGTGGTGCCTCTTTTTATTTAAACTACTTGACTTACCTAAAATCAGCAAGTAAGCAGAGTCCTAGTGGCCCAATATTATTTAATCCCGATAAAACACACACACACACACACTCACACACACACACACACAGGCAGTTGGGAGTGATCCACTCACAGGCAGCCTACTTGGAACTGAGGCCTTGCCACAAAGGCTGAGACAACCTATAGATTCAATCATGATGCCTTTGGGGGCAACTAGATCCCATGTATGGAGCAGAGATTTGGACAGCAGCTCAAAGGGGGAGAAATGGAGACTAATAGCCACTCAAGTCCTAGACTTTGCTTGGAGCACACTTCTAGGACAGTACCACTGGCCCCAGCCTATCCCAGCCACAGAAGGGAGACTTAGATATTTTCAAGAAAGGTACTTTAAATAAAAGCAGTCCCCTGAGATTCAGATATAGGGGCAGGGGCCCTGCTTGCTAAACATTTTTTTTTAAGATTGATGTTAATAACATAATATATAACATATATTATCTGTTTTCTAATCCATCCCTTAACATGGATACACAGTCCATGCCCGTTTTATAGTAACCATGGAGAGTTACTATATATTATGTAATATATGTTATATATTATGTTATTAACTAATATAATACTAAGAACAGTACTGAACATTTTTTAAAAGAGTGATGTTAATATAATATATAATATATAATATATAATTTAACAGAGAAATTAAATGAAAGTAATTCGTAATATGTTACATATACTTTAATTCAAAAATTTTGTTCTACAACTACACCAGAAAATGTAATGAAATTCTCAGATACTTACAGCCTCTTTTTATGAATAGATTTGTATTTAACAACATAAGAACATCACAAGCCCTTATTTACAGGAAGTATAGAAAATAAAAGAACAGAAGTATAGACAGACACCAGAAAAAATAGGATTAGTATAGTTAGAGACCAGACATATTTGTATATGATAAGAGAAAGAGGGAAATAACCTTAAATGAATTTGCGATTACATGACAAAGCAAATTAAAGGTTGATAAATTGAAAAAATAAGGAAGTAAGAATTTCTTGTAAATGAGCTCAATGTTATCTATAAATGCACTGATAAAATAACTCCTTGGACAGTAATTTGGGTCCCGGTGGATTATTGTACTTTGGAATGATTCCCTTGAAAATTTCTAAGTCCTATTCTTGTGGCTGAGACCAACTGGGTCTACAGTGACATGCAGAAAATGTTGCCCATGCCAAGATAGGTACCTACATGGGCTCCAGTACCCATTTCTCCTCTTTAGATTGCTCTTCAATCCTGTATATATGGGGTGAAATTGGTGAAGATTCACAATAATTATATCTGCTATACTGAATTTCTAGCACATATTCAGGCATACTTTAAGTTACTTGCATTTAAAATAAACCTGGAGACCACGTTCTTCAAGAGGCAGTAGGGAATATAGGACAGATTTAAAAAACAGTGATTTGAGAGGTTGTAGAGGAATTATGTAATCTGCTGTTGAGGAGAGTATTGAAAATGATTGAAGATTGAAAATGGTACTTGACTCCAAAAAGACTACCTGTGTTGTGTGGTAAGAAAGTTGGAAGGGGCCGATGACTTCAAAAAGGAGGTAGTGTAGTGCGAAGTTAAAAATATCTCCCTATTTCCTGGTTTCATCTGTCTCTATGTGGATGGTAGAATCAGAGATTCAGTAGAAGGGTGTCTGACAGTCTATTAAACCATTTTCACATTTTGCTTTCAAACTCTGTGCTTTCCCAGGAATTGTTTAATTAGTAGCATGCTGTTAATGTGTAGTATTCACTGCACATTTGAAAATAGTGTGGATTATATTTATAATCAGAAAAAAAGTGTTTTTGCTTACATAATTTGTTTTTACCAAATGAAAATATCTGAAGAACCAGAGGGACCACAAAAGAGAAATCAAATTTGTCTTCAGAATATAATTAATTTCATGACATTTATTACTCCACTTATTGAATTATTATAATTTCTAGTTATTAAAAATTCTGTGAGGAAATAAATTAAAAAATAGGTTAGTTTGTGCATGTCAATCATATATTTGTTGGCTTATTTTTTTTTCAGTTGAACATGGTTCTAATCTTGTTGTCCCACTTGTTGATAATGTTCTTCAATCTGAAAGTCTCATGATTCTTTGGACCACAGTCATAAATCATTAGTATTTTTATTTTATTATTTGTTTTAGGTTATGTTGATGTTGATTTGGCTTAATTTTTATTTTTATTTTATTTTATTTTTTATTATACTTTAAGTTTTAGGGTACATGTGCACAACGTGCAGGTTTGTTACATATGTATACATGTGCCATGTTGGTGAGCTGCACCCATTAACTCGTCATTTAGCATTAGGTATATCTCCTAATGCTATCCCTCCCCCCTCCCCCCACCCCACAACAGGCCCCGGTGTGTGATGGTCCCCTTCCTGTGTCCATGTGTTCTCATTGTTCAATTCCCATGTATGAGTGAGAACATGCAGTGTTTGGTTTTTTGTCCTTGCAATAGTTTGCTGAGAATGATGGTTTTCAGCTTCATCCATGTCCCTACAAAGGACATGAACTCATCATTTTTTATGGCTGCATAGTATTCCATGGTGTATATATGCCACATTTTCTTAATCCAGTCTATCATTGTTGGGCATTTGGATTGGTTCCAAGTCTTTGCTATTGTGAATAGTGCCGCAATAAACATACGTGTGCATGTGTCTTTATAGCAGCATGATTTACAAGCCTGCATCAGCACTAGTGTTCTCTTCTACCCAGGTAACCTAAATCATGATAAAATTTCAAGATGACAGGAAAGTACTTATAGGAGAAAACTAATTATTTACATTGGGCATTTTAGAACTCTCCAAAAGTTTAAGTAGTAATAGTTTATGTCAATTTATAGGAAACAATCTAAATTTCTCATGATACCTTTATTTGCCATCTGAGAGGCCTTATGTTTTTGTTCTGGTTACTACTTTTAGGCCAGTTCTACTAAAAGTACTTCCTCTAATCTTTTGATTTATTGTAAACATCAGTTGAGGGAGAAATACAATATAATTGTTTATTTAGTTCTATTTGGATGTGCTTTACAAATTTTTAGTCTCTTTAGGCTAGCACTAATTATATTCCATTCACTAAGTAGATCTTTTCTGTATCATCTCACAGTCATTTCTGCATCTAAATTCTTAAAGTTAAATAAGTGGTTTGTTAACTCTTACTAATACATATACGAGCACTTTAGATACAACCTGAGAGGGGCGTCTGGCTGATTTCGGTCAGGGCTGCTTTCTTTTACAGACTTAAGAGTATATTTTGGTTTGAGGGTGAGGGGGATTATCAGAAGCTTGGAATGTTCCTGTTTGAGGCAGAAGTTTTATGGCAGGGTTGGAATGTCTCTGGGAGGAGGGGAGTTTATCTTGGGGCAGATATCTTTCTGGCCAGACGGGGGTAATCTCCAGGCTGGCATCTTCCCAGCCAGAGCGGGGTTATCTCACGGCTAGGATGTCTCTGGTCAGGGAGGGGTTTGGAATGTTTCTGGTTGGAGGTGTTATTTGTGGTTTATGGTCGTGCTGACCTTAGTCATTAGGTTGATGCCCTTTGGATTTAGGTGGTTTTTTATTAAAGTGAACTTCAGAATGAGGGGCTTGTCCAAGATGGCAATGCTCCTGCTCGGTCAAGCATAATCATATGTACAAAATAGAAATAGATTTATGTCATTTACAGTGGTGTTTTTTTTAATTGAAGTGTCACTCAGGGCTACATGAACAGTTTTGAGAAACATGTGGGCCCAGATAATTTTATGGGAATTCTTTAATTCCATGGCTGTATTCTCTCCTAAGATCATTCAGACAGACAATATGACCATAGGTGTTTTTTTTTTTTTTTGCAGATTTTGTGTTGATTGAAACTTTGTGCTCATTTTAGTTTCTTATCATTTCCACTTAAGACTGTGTGCTTCCCGTTTTACAACAGAAAAGCAGCATTCACACATCTTGAATCACAAGTTGCCTCAAGATGCAAAAGCCTCAATAAAGGGACAATCTGAATTATTAGTATAAAAAGAAACCTCCTTTAATTAAAACAGCAAAACCCCATGGTAAGTCCTTAAGTCTGACCTTGTCATAGACATATTCTGTTAGAGAAAATCGTGGTATTAGAAACAGATATTTAGGCTGGGTTGCAATATTCTAAATTTTGATATATTATGGAGTGAGGTAGTGGGAATAATGATAATTTTCAAATAATCTTGTGCAGCATCTATCCTCCAGCTATTGTCATCAAAGACTGTATTGTTATTGAAGGAGAGTCTTTTACAAACAATGTAAGAAAGTTTTACCATGAAATATTGAAACCAAGATGATAAAATATAGGAAGTCTTCTAATTTTTTCTACTCATCTACGTAATAATCTTCAGATTAAATATATAAGATTTATTTTGAAACACCTACTGTAAAATATTGATTTGTAATGAATTTGTCCCATCTTCACCTTTACCACTTTCAGGAGAGACAGCTTTGTGGCCACTCTCATTAATTGGTGTCTCCACTGCATACTTTGTGTGATTTCACTGAGGAAGAGGTGAAAAGTTCTATATTTCCATCTCTGGTTAAAAGAAACATATAAAGAGTTAGAGTTTTAGATTTTAAAAAATATTTATATTTAATTATGAAATACTATAATTCTACCTTTTTAAAAACTTGAGCAAAATTTCTTGCCCACAGTTATGTGGCTATGAAAAAATGTTAATAAAAAAAGAGGTCTAAACTGTTATTTTTAAAATGAGGAACACATTTTGCATAAACCATGGTAGCCTCTATCCTTAAAAGTTATAATGTGTCAGCAGTCTCTAAGTGGTAGGGTTATTTTTCTTCAGAATAAAAAATAAAGCCAGTCTTTCATGGGTCTGTACAAACAAAAATGATCAATTATTACCAAAACTAATATCAAAGTATTGGAAAACCAAAGTGTGTATATATAAGCATACAGCTTCTTAATTTCCTTTCTCAGGAAGTCTCAGAAATACTTTCAGAATCATTATCCTAACATGCCCAAATTCAGAAAGTGTCCCATGAAACAGTGGTCCCTAGTAGTTGGAGCACAGGCTGTAAAGAGACTCCATTACTCAACCTTGGACCAGATGATCATTCTCTTTCTGCTTTAAGATTTTATTTGTAAATTGAAATAATTAAGATTCCATTCCGAGATTTTATTTGCAAAATGGAATAATTCTACCTTATAGTGTAGTTCTAAGGATTACATAACATACCATTGGTAAAGTGCTTAGTCCTAGGATTAAAGTAAGTTCTCAAAAATGGAATCTATTATTAACCCATGTGAAAAAAAGAATGGTTTCAATTTGTCATTTAATTGATTCATTAATAAAAACTTGTCAAGCTCCTATAATGGATCAGACAATTGTTATGTGTTTTGAATGTCAAAATTAATAAGACATAGTTCTTCTCCAAAAGTATAGGGTGGAATATATGCATAGCCACATAAAAATAGAGCAAGTGCATTGCTTGACACCACTGAAGCAGCTATCTAGTGAACAAGAGTAGTCTTTATTCTTCCCATGGCTACAAAATAAGGAAAGATATAGTATTCCCTCAAATTAACATGTAAAAGAGAAATAAAAGAATGTGTTTGTCAAAATTTCAGTACTAATATGGTGACCTTTATCATCACTGAGAAAAAGGATGCATTAAAACTTTAATTATCAAAGCAGGCTTTAAACACCAAGAAGAATGACTGGAGATCAAGGAGAGTATGTTTCACATACTGAAATATATCAGAACATAGCTCACCCAAACTCTCCAAGGACACTGAAAGACTGCAGCTGAACAAAGAACTTAACAGGTCTTTTAAATAAGACTGATCTGACAGTTTATAAAAATGGTTTCCTGTAAATACTTCTTTCCAAGGGAACTCTGGTCTTTTGAAAATGTTTTTAATCCATTTAACCCTGAATAGTTGCACAGATTAAACCATTTTCTTATTATTAATAATGTAAATGCATACCTATTTTGAACTTTCTTTCAAACACTGTGGTAAGCACTTTACAAATATTGTATCCATTGGTCTTGTTAAAAAAACACTTTTGACAAATTAAATTTAACAGAGTTCATTTGAGCCAAGAACAATTTATAAATCAGGCAACAGTTGGAATCAGAAGAGTCTCAGAGAGCTCCACCCAGCAGTGTGTGCAGTGCAATTTTATAGGATACCCACAGAAGCAGAGTTGAGAAATCACCTGATTGGCTACAGCTAGGCATCTGCTTTATTTGGGCATGGAGTGATCAGTTGGCTACCTATAATTGTCTGAAACATGGCTGCTTGTGATTGGCTGAAACTAGACTCTTCCTTGTACTCCTAACTTAGGTTTGAGACTGTTTACATATTAATTTAAGTTGTAATTTGCTTTGTAGGGACTCAGGGTATGGAGACAGCCTCAGGCTAATGGCCTCCTGCTTATTTTTCAGTCTTCACACACAAAGACACACACACGTGCACACAACTAATATATCTTAATATCATTTCCATTTTATGGATAAAAAACAAATAAGAATGGTTATGTCCCTCACTTTAAAAAAACTATGTTTGATCAACAGTATGTCTTTAAAATAAGGACATAACATCTCAAATTTAGTGAACTGATTTTCCTCTTGGCTGATGATTGCAAAATAATATGCTCAGTCTTTCTACTGTTTGTTTAGAATTATTCTATTCAAAGGATTAATATTATCATGAATTAACTGAATAAACAATTTCACCATTAAGTGGTGTATCTGCTTGCTTCAGAGCCAAAATAATCCTACTGGTTCTAGTTATTTGATAGACTGTAAGAAATTAAATATGATTGATTAGTTGAATATTGATAATTTTAAACTGGCTTATTGGTAGAGTGGTTAAACTAATAAATATAAGAGTTTATGGAAAGGTAATAGTCATGCATTCTCACCTTTGCATCATTTTTATACAATGCAACAATATATAATGCTTTGAAGTATTCAGATAGTTTGCATATAGTATGACTGAATTGGCGATGTCTCCATATTTTGCAACTTGCTAGGTTACAGCTGAGTGTTTGGAGTGCAACATTCTTTTAAAAGTCACGAAATAACTGTAATTTGCTCAGGGAAGTCTTACAGGCTAGACATTCTTTGCCCCTCCAGATCTACACTCAGTCTCTCTTTACCGTTTGCACTCCTGGATCTGATTCCTCAGAAGTTCTCTTGTTTTCTGGCTTTCTATTTGCCAGAAAACAAGACTCTGCCAGTGAGAGACATCATCAGGAAATCTAAATGTGGAGAAAAGAGGTTAGGCATTTAATTCCACCTTCCTCTCTAGCCCGCACCTCAAGCTGAAATTTGGCTCTGTACCTCCTATGCAACAGCTTCTCTCTCCAGCTACAGCTTTCACTAGTCTCTGATAACAGCTCCTTCTCCTTATAAATTTCTGGTCTAGGGCATCCCCAGTTGTGGGCCCTCAGGTACTTCATCTTAATTCTTAACCCTACCCATACTTAAATAGTTCCTTCAGTAAACTGCTTTGAATTAAGTATTTCAGTGTGCCTCCTAGGGTGACCAACCATTCTGGTTTGCATGACACTCATGAATTTATTTTAGCACTAAAATCAGATGCCCTTGCTACACACGAGGACAGTTGGTTACCCTCAGCTTCCTGACAGAGACTTGTTTGATCTAGATGGCTAAGATAGTGAGGGTCTGGTAAAAATATAGGCTATGTGGTTGAAAGAGAGGGAGATATTTTATCTGGAAAGAGAGAATGTTAAGTTTTGCTTCAAGACAGTTGGCTTATTTTATAGTAAAGAGTGTAGAAAGTTTAGAGAGGGGTCAGAAGAAACCATGTGTAAGGTGAGGAGTGTCTAGCATTGTGGTAGGTGATTTTTATAATATTATATATATATCTCACCATGCCATAAATGTGTTTGAGTAAAGTAGGGTCTGTAAATAGTACAGCTTACCAGCTCAGTAGACAAGAAAATCGGTTGTAGTCATTACATAAACTTAATCAATCTAAAAATTAACCTACAACTACCTTAGAATATCTGTCAGAATTTTATATCTCTGAAATTAATTGAGAATTTCTAAATAAACAATGAATGAACATGAGTGTCAAGTACCTTTATATCATTTACTTAGGCATAATTATATAAATAACTTAAAAATAATAGGTAGCAAGTAGAGTTTTGATATAAATTTCAATTTATTCTCTGCTAAGAAAATCATTAGTTTCTGCTGATGAGATAGTCAAACAATTCACTCTCAATATTTCATCACAGTCACCGGTTCCTCTCCCTTCATCACTCTTCCTGCTGGTACAGTATGCAGAACTAACTTTTTGTGTCTTTCATTAATGACTTCTCATTACTTGTATAGGAATTCAACTTTTTTTCTCTAATGATTGATTATCCTGTATCCTGGGTAGCTCACTTTCTTTACTGTAGCATGCTATAATAAGTGGAACATTCCATTTACTTTGACAAGAAAAAAAAATTCTTGATTGTGAAAATGAGGTTCCTGTTATGTAGCAACATGGACATTGTTACATTTTTGCTCTCATTGTACAATTTGTATTTTCCACATATCTCCCAATATTACTTTCAATTTATAAAATAACAGCATCACCAACAATAATAAATTGATAGCTGCAAATCTACTATATGCCAAATACTGTGCTAGACCCTGAAGTAGAGAGTTGAATAAGATGTAGTCTCTGACCTTCAAAAATTGAGAGAGGGATATGTCAACAAAACATTCCAATAATATTAAAGAGTAAAACAACAGGTTTGCACAAAGAACAAAATAACCCAAAAGTGTGATTCTCTTATCTGGAAGTGTGGATTGGGCAGGGAAAAGTTGAGTTAAGACATTTTGCAGATGTCATATCTGAGCTTATCCAGTTAAGTCCATTTCCTTCTCAATTGTAAATGACTTGCCCTGATGAAATGGTGATTAATGCAACAATTATACTGTGTAAGAGTGTATACAATAAAAACTAAGCCTCGTTCTCACTCTAGATTTTTTTCTATCTGTGCAAGCAACCAAATCACAACTTTAAACAGCCAAACAAGAATAAGCAAATACAAAACCAAATATTTAAATGTGCAGGTATTGTATTAACTATCAATTTTCTACTACAGAAACCAATTTCAGACACCTTGTGGAATACCCACTTTTCCTTACCTGGGGAGTTCTTCACCTTGTTTTAATCTAAATAACTCTATTAAGACAAAGAGTAGTTGAATCCATTTCACTGTATTTATATTTCTTTAAGTTCTCAGACACTGTAGTTGGGGGGATGTAGCCTTCATATATAGAAAGTAAATTTCAAGTTGCAAAAGGAATTTATAGTTGGAGAGCCAAGGTTCTGATTTTTTTTTCTTCATCTACAATTTAGACCTCAATGTACAATGTCCCTTAGCTTCTAGGTCATTCTTTTCTTTTTGTAAAGAGTCTTAGCAGATAAAAATTACAGCCAACAGTCTCAAGTATACCAACCAGAGTTCCAGAGCCATATAATTTAAAAACTAGAAGGAACCTCAGATAACATATAAATAAATATATTCTTTTTCAGCTAAAGAAGCCCAGAGAAGTGAAATGATTTGCCTCAGTTAAAACAAGTAGGTAGTGTCATGACTGTTCACTAGAACTAATTCCTGTTTCCTTTTAAAGTGGTCTTTATCCTAATACAAAAGCTGAAATAGAAACACTGGAGAGCTTATTACAGTACATGTTGCTGGATCTCATCACCAGAGGTTGTAATTTGTTAGGGCTAATGGAGGCCCAGTAATCTGCATTTCTAACAAGTTTCTGGCTGCTGCTGCTGCCTTGGTAAAAATACATTGAGAAACCTGCTCTACAGCATGCATCTTGAGGCCTTACATAAGTATTTTTAAACCTAAGCCTGTAATAACTTAGTAGAAAGAAGTCCTGACTCTAAAGTGAATATTTTCTTTTTCCTCCTAATAAGACACTTCACCTCTCTGTAGTACACTTAAAGGTTTGATCTAGGACCTGAAGATTTTCTCTCGGTAATTACGTATTTATTTAATTTAAAGCCAGTTAATGTATGCATGCTTCTTAAAATATGAAATAATATAATATTTTTATTGTATGACTTACACTTTTTTCATTAATTGAAAATACCTTCATCACCATTCATGATTATTGATTTACACAGCCTGGATTTACCTATCCAATATTTACCCATCTTGTCAAATTAGTCAACAGGGACTGTAAATTATTCTGTCACAAACTTGCAATCCCCTGCTAACCCTTTACCTCTCTGCTTCCATCTTCCTTTCCCTCCCCATTCACTACCTGAGCTCATGTGGTCATGTCAGAAGTATATCATTAACCTGCAATGATTATACTTTTACTTTTCTTTGCTCCACAGACACAAACGGACAAAAATCATTCTTTCAAAGAAATCACAGTGTCTAAATAATTCCAAGGTTTTATAAATATATTAAGAAAACAATTAAATGCATTGAGCAAATATAACTGCCTTATTAAAAGATATTTTTAACATCACTAGACTATTTTTGCTTTTCTAAAAGTATAATTTTCTAATAGATCAGCTATACACCTTTAATTTGCATGCTCATTGCTTTCTATTAAAGCGATTATGTAAGTTTTCTGGAAAAAAAAATCCTAACTTTTTATAGACAGAATTTAACTAGGGTTTTTGACAGAGATATTCTCAATCAACTACCTATTCCTCTCACTTTGGATAGTAATGAAGGCTGTCATAGAAAATAAAGGTTTATAATGAGACACTATAGTACCCTACCATGGGGACAATGAATGGCATCATGTTCTCTTTAATCTCTCCTTTCTTCATTTTATTTTTTTAGGGCAAGCATGGAGCCATTATGAAAGCTAAAATTGATTTTTTTTCTTGAACATTTAAACATACACATATATAAAGGGTATGTTTGGGTAGCGATTGCTTCCAAATGACATTCTTTTGGAGAAGGATGGGAGGTTGTATCTTTTGAAGAATTTTATGAGCCTTAATTTTTTGGAGAGTCTTAAGGCTTCTATATGATTCTAAAGAGTTAGAGAAACCTGTGGTAATCCAAAGAGTGAAACTAAAGACTGGTGTTTATCACAGCTTTACTAACTAATGTTCCTTGAAATAAGCTATATCAATTTACAGATATTATTAAAAATGCACAGAAAATAAATGAATACTAATACCCAAGCATGTGAATTAAATAACTCAAATTGCAACCTTGGCAATACCACAATCTTATGGTAACATTTTAAGGTTTTTAAAAATTTGATATTAATACATAGCAAAGTATTTTTAATGTATACAATTATATGTAACTACAGAATTCTTATAATTATACAAAATATTATATTAAATATATACATATAACATACACACATATATGATAGATGCATGTATATGTATTTATATACAGTCATACATACATTGTTTAACAACTGGGATATGTGTACTTACACAAATCTAAATGGTATAGCCTACTACACACCTAAGCTTTATGGAGTAGCCTATTGCTCCTAGGTTACAAACTTGTATGGCATGTTACTGTACTGAATACTGTAGGCAATTGTAACACAATGGTTAAGTATTTGTATACTTAAACATATATAAACATAGAAAAGGTACAGTAAAAATACTGTATAAAAGGCAAAAATGGTACACCTATGTAGGGCACTTACCATGAATGAAGCTTGTAGGACTGAGAATTACTCTGGGTGAGTGAGTAGAGGGTGAATATGAAGGCCTGGAACATTACTGTATACTACTGCAGACTTTAGAAACACTGTACATGAAGGCCACACTAAATTTATTACAAATATTTTTTCTTCAATAATAAATTAACGATCTTGCTGTAAGTTTTTACTTTATAAACTTTTCATTTTTAAAATTTTTGACTCCTACTTTTTCTTTATTAACGAATTAGAGTAAACATCACATTTGTGTGGCTGCAAGGGCACAGCCTACTTTGACAGCTTGGAAAAAATAAACAGTAATTTATGTTACAAAAAAAAGAGAAAACTTCTGTAACAAAACTTATCTTAAAACACAAAGACATTGTACAGCTGTACAAAAATTTGTATTTCTTTATATTCTTATTCCATAGCCTTTTTCTATTTTTAAAATAATTTTTAACTTTTTAAACTTTTTTGTTAAAAACTAAGACATGTACACACACCTTAGCCTGGGCCTACAGAGGGTCAGGATCATTGAGGCATCACTAGGTAATAGAAATTTTCCAACTCAACTATGATCTTATGGGTCCACTGTTGTACACGCAGCCTGTTGTTGAGTGAAATGTTGTTACTGGGCACATGACTGTATATTGCTCCACAAACATCTTTTTCTAAGACTTCATTGTGTTATGTTATTTTTTCAATATGCTTATTCACTGATTTTTTTCCCGTGCACTTTCAAGTCTTTTATTTATGTCTACACCACTTAATATTTTGTACTGGCAGTACTTGAATTTGTCATGTATTTTTATAATTCTTGTCAGTTTATTTTCTATCTCATGTGATCATCTTCTATATTCATTTTTCTTCTTTCATAATTTTTTAAATGAAGCGTGCTTGTTCTCTAAATGGTCTCCTTTCTCTTAGGGTAAATCATCTATGAAAGCATTTTCTCCATGGATCTACTGGGGTATTGTGAAATTGTCATAGGTTCTTCTTTTTGATATTGTCTTAACTTCACCCTTTGTTATTCTTCCTTTCAGTAACAGTTTTAATGGGGCCCATGATGACTCAGTTATAGAACATTATTGTCCAGGTTCCCTTTCACTTAGATGTGATCATATTATGAAGTGCAGGCTGAGATGATATAAACAAAATTGATATCTGTGACTTCCAGTGTTCCTCTTTAAGAAGACGATGTTTTCTCTGAATTCCCCTTTCCCTGCACAGTAGGTTGGAAAATGTCAACGACTGAATTGATCCTCCTGCTCCTAGAGATGAAAATCAAGTACAGATAATGACAGAGACATTTTTGCTCTATTAGGTCCTTGGATGAGCTCAAGAAATGTCTGCTTATCCCTAACCACCTTGGAAAGTTACCTTAAGAAAGTAAAATTGCTATGTTGCTTGAGAAGCTATATTTTTAAGTATTTTTATTATAGTAGTTTCTAGAACAAGATTTCTCAACCTTAATACAATTGACATTTGAGGCTGAATATGTTTTTGTAGTAAAAAGCTGTCATGTGTATTTTACGGTGTTTTGTAGCATCATTAGCCACTACCACTAGACCCCTATGGCATTCTTCTGGTCGTGACAAGCAAAAATGTCTCTGGACTTTGGCAAATGTCCCCTGTGGAATAAATGTGTTTCTGTTTGAGAACCACTAGTCTGTAGACTAACGAATGTAGACATTGTTCCCTGTAGTAATGCTGCCTTAATAAAACTTATAAAATATTGCATTCACTTAGGAGTCAGTGAGAAGAAGTGAAGAGGCATTGAAGGCTGGAAGGTGGTGATAATTCTTCTGCTGCAGCATTGATAAAACTGTTAACTGTGGAAAGTACTAGGCAGAACATATTCCTATGGAGATTAAAGCAGCTAGAGAAGTGCTTAGAAAGGCAGAATGTCAGTATATTTTGCTTGTTACATGTAGTTTTTAGTAAAATATTATAACAAAAAATGAGCACAGCTAAGAAAAAATGAACAGTTGAAATTAGAAATAGAGGTGACAGAACTTTTTAGGGAGATAACCTAAAATTGGCTAATAAGCTAGAAAAGTGAGATCTCTCAGAGTTGAAAAAACTAACTGCCTCGATACTTCAAACAGCGGGAGAAAGAGTGTCACTCATGGCTTTTTTTAGAGATCCCCCCCCCCCATTTGGACTTTTCAGCCAAAAGTATGAAAAAGCCACATGCAAAGATTAGATTATAAATATTGCCTTCGTACCACTACCAACTTTTTCATATGACCACATTAGCCGTCTTTAAAATAAAGAAAAGTGGGCCCAGGGCCAGGCTTACGCCTGTAATCCCAACACTTCGGGAGGCCGAGGGGTGTGGATAACCTGAGGTCAGGAGTTGGAAACCAGCCTAGCCAACATAGTGAAACCCTGTCTCTACTAAAAGTACAAAATTTAGCCAAGTATGGTGGCATGTGCCTATAGTTCTAGCTACTTGTGAGGCTGAGGCAGGGGAATCGCTTGAACCCGGGAGGCGGAGCTTGCAGTGAGTTGAGATGCCCCACTGCACTCCAGCCTGGGTGACAGAGCGAGACTCTGTCTCAAAAAAAAAAAGAAAAAAAGGGCCCAGCAAAGAAGTCAATTAATTAAAAACAAGAATCAGAGGGTTAAGAAGTGTAACTAGAAGACATTTTTGGTGAAATTCTTCCAAATGAAACTAAATACACCAGAAACCTTAATTCTTGCGAAAGTTGAAAAACCACTAGCTCAGCATTGAAAGGCTTTTAATTGTGTGATACAAAAAGACATCCTTGGTTTATTAAACCGAAACCAGCAGCTGTTCATGGTGGCTCACACCTGTAATCCCAGTACTTTGGGAGGCTAAGGCGGGAAGATCGTTTGAGGCCAGGAGTTCAAGACCAGCCTGGTCAACATGGTGAAACCCGACCTTTACTGAAAATACAAAAATTAGCCAGATGTGGTGGTGCATGCCTGTAATCCCAGCTACCTGGGAGACTGAGTCATGAGAGTCACTTGAACCTGGGAGGTAAAGGCTGCAGTGAGCCAAGATCGTGTCACCTCACCCCAGCCTGAGTGACAGAGAGAGATTCTGTCTTCGAAAAAAACAAACAAGCAAAACTATACCAGCAAAAAGAGGTTAGGAAATCTGTGCAGTGGCCTGATATGGCCTGATGAAGCATACCATCTGCTTGACGATATGCCATGGAAGTTAAGGAAACAAAATGTCCCAATAGGTCAAATGACTGGCCAGGAAAGGACAATGGATAAGTTCCTCCTAGAAACCAGAACCAGTCTAACCAAAGAAATAGGGCTGCTGCCAGGTCAGGGAGTTCTTGAAATTCTGATCCAGAGTGATTTATTTCATAATTGTAATGAATCAGTGGCTTTTTCTAGGTGAGTATTTTTGTTGCAGTTGTCCTATTTCTTTTTCACTATTGTATATTGGCTATGTATGGAGTCAGGGGCTGGGAGGTATGAGAAAAATGACTGTGTTTTTGAGTTCATCGCTGTTCCGCCCCCACTGGATCACACAGAAAGAACTGTGCGTAATTCAGAGATATCCAGTTTTTAGTAGGGTGCAGTAACTGGACATTTGATTGTATCGTATCTCTTGGAGAACAGATGTTTTCTTTTTGGAAAGCAAAACAGAACAAAACAAAACATGAATACTTGTACATGGATACTTGGGAGGCCAGCATGGCAGTCTGTCAGAAACCATTAATTTTCTTCAGTGTTTTTCCCCTCCTTACTTCCTTTCAGCAATAGAATCTATTGATTTTTAGTTTGGCACAAGGTATGCAGCTAGAGAGAATACATCCCCAATCTACCCTTGCAAAATAGGCCTTATCTCACAACTAATGCCAACAGGTTACATGAAAACAAATCTCTAAACTTTTTGAATCATGTATTGAAAAGAAAACTAATTGCCTTTCAAGAACTTCCCCCTTCAGGTTGGCAATCAAGTAGCAAAAGCTTGAACAGTGGCCTCATACCATACACAGACTGAACCCCCTCACTGGGAGTAACAGATCTGTTTCACCAGTTTGGTTCCCTAGATGACCTTAAAAAGGAAAGCCCATGTTATTTGCCCTGGATTCTCATGTGAGAGAGCGACATGTTTTATTCTTGTTTCAACTACTCAAGTTTTGGTTCCATTAATCCTAACTCCTACATCTTTCCTGGGATTACTATGATATTAACATTCTGCTTAAAATATGTTGAAATTTCAGATGTATTAAGATTCATATTTGAAGCTCAATTATTCAGGATATTGAATATCACAATTGATCTGCGGTTATGGGACATAAGACATTATAGCTGGGAAAGGTTAATCTGCATTTTTACTCTTAATTACTATTCTTGTTAATAGCATTGCCCTAAACTACCTCTGTCTACAGAATAAAGCAAAATATTTTCCAATAAGTGTTTTTGTTTTTTCTACATTTCTTATCATTTTATCTTCTGTTTTCTAATAGAGAATTTTTATCTCTATTTTCCCATTATTAAACCAGCTATGTATATATATTTTATTTATCTCAAAAACCAAGTTTTAGAACTTACCAGTTATATTATCTATTTATTAAATAATGCCTGCCTTAAAAATAAAACAATTACTTATTTACAACTTGGGTTTAACTTGTAGCTCTTTTTCTAGCTGGCATTTGTGTGTAATCTTGTGCATTGATATGCACACAAACATAATTCTTACCTTGAGTTTAATTTCTTTTCTTTTTAAAAATTCCTTGGGTTTAATAAGTGTCTTTCATTTCTCTTTTTTTTGGTCCTATTTAGTATAACATTTCCCCTTAGCAGAACTTTAATGGTACCCATGAGTTCTTTATATGTAATTATTTTTCTCAGTTTATTTGGGCATATTTATTGTTTGTTTGTCAACTTTCATTCCACCCTTTCCCAACAAATTAAGTTTTATCTTTTGGGTTTCAAATTATGAAACAATAGCAAAGTTGGACTAAAATAAAAAGATTCAGTTTCTTCAGCTCACTTTCTTTAATAGGC
This sequence comes from Homo sapiens, assembly GCF_000001405.40. Lineage (NCBI taxonomy): Eukaryota > Metazoa > Chordata > Mammalia > Primates > Hominidae > Homo > Homo sapiens. The sequence continues at coordinate 49,785,684 of NC_000006.12, forward strand.
AACTTAAGAATATGTCCTCCCTAGATAGCACAATGGTGAAGTTCAAATGAGAACTTGAACAGGCAAATGCGTGACCAAACTAAAATGAATTGCTGTGCTGATATTAAGAGTTCCTGATGGCCTGCTGCTTGTCCATTACATAGGTCTTGATCTAGGAGTAGATTTTAACAAAAGTCACATCGAGATGTAAAAGCATTAAGCTGACTTAAGGGCCATGGACAGAAAACAGAAGGAAGTAACACTATATTAACTACATGTTGCTGAGGGCCTCTACTCCAGGAAGGATTTTACCTTCCAGAAGCTCTAGACTGGCACCGCCTCCAGTGCTGACATGGCTGACTTTATCTTCAGTGTTCCATTTGGCACAGCAAGTAGCAGTGTCTCCACCCCCTATAACAGTGATGCAGCCCTTGGAAGTGGCTTTCACAATTTCATCCATGAGGGCTTTGGTTCCCTTAGCAAAGGCATCCCATTCAAATACTCCTAACGGCCCATTCCAAACAATTAGCCTTGCTTGAGCCACAACTTGAGCATGATTCTTGTTGCTCTCAGGACCACAGTCCAAACCCATCCAGCCAGGAGATATGCCAGATGCTACAGTGGCTTTTCCAACCTGAGCGTTCTCGTCAAACTTGTCCCCAGTAACAAAATCAACAGGAAAAGTAATCCTTACACCATTCTTTTGTGCTTTGGCCATGATATCTTTAACGATCTTGGCTCCCTCTTCATCAAACAGGGAAGCACCAATCTCCATGTTGTTGAGTACCTTAAGGAAGGTATAAGCCATTCCACCACCAATAATCATCTCATTGACTTTGTCCAGCATATTTTTGATAAGTTGGATCTTGTCTGCCACTTTGGCTCCACCAAGTATAGCCAGAAAGGGTCTCACTGGGTTTTCCAAGGCTTTAGCAAAGTAATCTAGTTCCTTCTTCATCAAGAATCCGGATGCTTTATGGGGCAGATTCACTCCCACCATGGAACTATGAGCGCGGTGTGCAGTGCCAAAAGCATCATTGACATAGACGTCCCCTAGCTTGGAAAGTGATGCTCGGAAGGCTTCTATTTTATCTGGCTCAGCTTTAATCTTCTTTCCAGAGGGATCTTGGCCCTTCCCTTCTTCCTCCACATGAAAGCGCAGGTTCTCCAGCAGGATGACTGAACCAGGAGCTGGGTTGGCACAGGCTTTCTCCACTTCTGCGCCTACACAGTCCTTCAGGAACAGAACATCCTTGCCCAGCAAGGATTTGAGCTCAACAGCAACAGGTGCTAAGGAATATTTGTCAGGCATGGGAACACCATCAGGCCGACCTAGATGACTCATAAGAACTACTGCCTTGGCTCCATTGTCCAGGCAGTACTTGATGCTTGGGATGGAAGCCTTGATCCTCTGGTTGTTTGTAATCTGGTTCTTCTTCATGGGAACATTGAAGTCTACTCTCATGATGACTCGCTTCCCTCTAACATCCAGTTTGTCTAAAGTCAACTTCTTAGAAAGAGACATCTTGACAATATAAAGACATAGGCTGACACCTGGATCTTAATGCTGAAGAACCAACTTGCTGTTGAGGGGCTGGGTCGGTGGTGACTTCTAACGCCTTTGCCCTTGTCCCGCCCCTTTCTTCTCCTCACTGTCTCCAGCACAACGGCCACTGTTAGACTGGAAAGCAAATCTAGCTTTGTGATTGGCTCATGGTCCTGTCAATCTCGATCTGAACTGTGTTGCTAGGTGAAGATTCCAACTTCCTGGGCAGAGGGTCATGTAGTGGAATAGAGCTGTACCTGGCTTCAGGCGAGACTTGGGTAGGTGAAGAAACCCCAGAATAAGAATGGTTCTAAAAAAACAAGAATAGTCCTGAGGTGTGCGCCGCCTTCTGGCTCTTTTTGCCCCCACCCCACAGCTCGGTTAACAGTTGCTTTTATTATTAAAAACAAAACAAAAAGAACTCCACCCCCACCCCCGCAAACCTACATACACCTCATTCATGTCAAATCTTAACCATTTTGATATGTAAAAACCTCTGCAGTGCCAAATAAAAGGAATATTTGAAATAATGATTTTCATATGAAACCTTGCTTATTCAAGTCAGGATAGTATAGTTCTGTTTTTTCCTTGTCTTGATAAATATTTCTTTGAGGATGTGGCTTGTTGTTAGTCTTCATCTTTAGATCTATTCTGGGACGTGGTGGGAATGCTGTCATATTTTCATTACTTTGCTTCTTCCATTTTCAGACTACCATGAAAGAATGTTTGGTCACTTCTGCAGGAGAATCCCATAAGATCATAGCAAAGAGAGTATCAGTAACAAGTGCTGAAAGTAATGGTGACATTTCTTTCAGACTACAATGTTATGATGAGGCTCCTTATTTTTTGTCTCCTCTCTGTTTGCTTTCCTACCTGTACAACTTAGAAATTGAGCTGAAAAATAAATGCATGGTTTTCATGAAGATGAAAACATATATTAGAATTGAAAGTGAGTAAGATATTCTATTTTTGGAGAAAGCAAATGTATGTGGCTAGTTGGTTTAGTAATGAAAATTGGCTTTACAGTTTTTTTCATTCTACTCCATAAGTTGAGTGAACTAAATATGTAAAATGAAGGCTTTGACAGAAATATATTTGAGGCATCTCCTATTAAGATGGCTAAAATAAAAAATAAAAACAAGTGTTGAGAAAGAAGTGGACAAATTGGAATCCTCATTTATTGCTGATAGGAATGTCTAATGGTGCAGCCACTTTAAAAAACAGTTTATCGGTTCCTCAATGTTGAACATCGAGTCAACAGCATTTAAAAGCAAACTTAAATGGTGTTAAAATATATAGTAACAGAAACTCTCATTTGTTGCTCCCAGGAATGAAATATGCTACAGACATTTTGGGAAACAGCTTGGCAATTTCTTAGAAATATGCATAGACTTACCATACAAGTCATCAATCCTATTTCTAGATATTCATCCAAGGACATCAAAAACCTGTATTCTCTCAAACTTCTGTAAACAAACGTTTAGAGCAGTTTTATTAATAATTACCAAAATTGTATATTCTTCAAGTAATAAATAAATAAACTGTGATATATCCATGCAATGGAATATTATTTTTTAAAAAAAGAAAAGAAACAAGCTATTTACTTACACAAAAGCCCTGGATAAAACTTAAATGTGCCTTACTAACTGAAAGACGCCAGGCAAAAAAATTTTGTAGTTATTGTATAATTCCATTTGTATGACATTTGATAAAAGGCAAAACTATAGGGATGGAAAACATATCAGTGGTTGCTACAGGTTAAGAGAGCGTGGTCAACTATAATGGGGATACACAGGAGGATTTTTAGTGTGGTAAACTTTTCTATGAGGTACTGGAGTGGTGGATACAACATTCTATGCACTTGTCAAAATTCATAGAATCGTACGTTGTAGAGAGTAAACTTTAATGAATGCAAATAAAAAATATGATCCAGAGTGTTAGGGAATCGTATTATATAATGTAGCCTCTGACAGATAAGCCTAACTGTATCGTAATATATAGGAAATTTTACTACATGTGATGTGGAAATTTTACTACAGGTGATGTGGACAAAAAAAGGAAATGACTTAAGTAACTTTGCAAAAGAGGTTTTCAGTTTGTAAAACTAAAGACAAAAACAGCTGTCCATAAATATAATACTCTAGTTGGTAAGTTTGAATATCACAAGCTTATAGGTGAATAATTCTTAAACTATTTGTGTTATTAGAGATAAACAAATAATGGAAGATAATTAAAAGTTTCTCACCGTCAGGAAAATAAATTACAAATAAGCAAGGGCAGAATGAACTCTGTGGTGCTGGATTAAGAGTCTGAGATATCGGTATGAACTCATATTAAGTTCAATATACACATAGGTTGATATGGAAAATAATTACAGATATATGTGTATAAATATGTGTTAATTTTCTCTTGCTACTGAAGCAAGTTGTCACAAATTTAGCTACTTGAAATAACACAATTTTGTGTTCAAAAACAATTCTGTAGGTCAGAGATTCAGGTTGGCTCTGCTGGTTTCTTGCTCTGGATTTCATAAAGTTTTGATGGCTGGGTTTTCATTACAAGGCTCTAGGAAGAATTTACCTCTAAGCTCATTTAGGCTTTTGGCAGGATTCAGTTCCTTGCAATTATAGGACTGAGCTACCTGCTTTTGGCTGGCTGTTAATAAACCCCTAAAGGCCCTCTCAGGTTTGTAGGTTCCTGTATCTGAGAGCCAGCAATGATGCATTGAATTCTTCTTACAATTGGAATCTCTCTGATTTTCATTTCTACTCCATCTGTTTTCCACTTTCATCCAGAGAAAATTCTCTGCTGTTAAGGACTCATTTGATTAAGTTGGGCCAAACTAGATAATACAGGATAAACTCCCTAATTAAATACTGTGATATAATTATATCTGCAAAGTCTCTTTTGTCATGTAGCATCAGTATTTACAAGTTCTGGGGAATAGGACATGGACATCTTTGGTGGGCCGTTATTCTGCCTACTCAAACAGGATTTTGATAAACGCAAATATTTTCAAGCTCTGTTCGTAAGAGGGCAGAGAAGCAGTGACTTATAAATAAATAAGTGGGGGTGGGGGAAAGGACAAAACTTCTCTACAGAGGAATTCCAAATAATGTATGTAGACACATTCCTCTACTAGAGGTGGAGCTTAATGGACTGTTTGAATGTAGTGATAAATAGATTCTGAGTATTCAAATTACTATTCACCATGATTTACAAATACTAGATTTGAAAGACCCAAAAGGAAAATATACTCTTCTGTTTTGGCACCTTTCTGTAAAGAAGATTTGCAGTGTGCTCTGCACTGAGCTAAACCACAAGGGCATTTTGTCACCACTTCCCCAAGATCTGTCTTCATGTAACAGCATCAAGCTCTGAGGACCTTGTCTTTCAAAATTAAAATCCTGTTACCACGTATCATCCCACATAGAGGCTGAAATGTCTTCTTGACTAAATCCAGTTTTCATCTATGTTCACAGTATCAATGTCTCTACGTTCTCCTGTTCTTGGACAGGTTTTCCAGGTTTTCTTTATGCAAATGTCCTCTGTTTCTCTCCAGGTCTTTTAAGGGCTGCTTACTTAGCTACTAGTATTTGCTCATGGTGGTGACTGATTAAAGTCTATGATGGAAAGATTTCATTATAGGTTATCCATTTTCTTTGAAAATTGAAACATGTTATGGATATAATCTATTATTCTTTCTATTAGGAAGCCTGTGAAATATTTGGGGCAGTTTACCTTCAATTCACCTTTCCATTGACAATGATTGTAAAATATGCAAATATATATTCCATACGTTATGCAGAGTTCTGGGTGCTGAAATGACTAATAATCTATAGGTATGTATATTCTCATGTACATATTGTGTCATTTTAGTCACTAATTTTTAATATTTCGAAACACACCAATCCTTCTTTTAACAATTTAAAAACAATTTTTAAATTGTTTATGAATTTGTAAATGTCCCTATTAATAATAGCAGCAAACTTCAATTTATGCATTTGAAAATGTTTCCATGAGTTTTTGGGATCATTGTAAAAGGTAGACTAAGGTGGCTGTATGGTGCTATCTCTCCCTTTCAATGGCGAAAACCGCTACTCTTGCGTCAACCTAATATATAACTTTTTACACAGTGCAGAATTAGTTTGAAAACAACATAATAATTCACACGATAACATTATGTATGAATTAGCCAATGCATTTCTTTTAAAGTATACTTTTTTGCATTTGTTCCTCCATCTACTTATCTATTCTTCTTTTTTTTCTTTATTATTATTATTATTATTATTATACTTTAAGTTTTAGGGTACATGTGCACAATGTGCAGGTTAGTTACATATGTATACATATGCTATGCTGGTGCACTGCACCCACTAACTCGTCATCTAGCATTAGGTATATCTCCCAATGCTATCCCTCCCCCCTGCCCCCACCCCACAACAGTCTCCAGAGTGTGATGTTCCCCTTCCTGTGTTCATGTGTTCTCATTGTTCAATTCCCACCTATGAGTGAGAATATGCGGTATTTGGTTTTTTGTTCTTGTGATAGTTTACTGAGAATGATGATTTCCAATTTCATCCATGTCCCTACAAAGGACATGAACTCATCATTTTTTATGGCTGCATAGTATTCATGGTGTATATGTGCCACATTATCTTAATCCAGTCTATCATTGTTGGACATTTGGGTTGGTTCCAAGTCTTTGCTATTGTGAATAATGCCGCAATAAACATATGTGTGCATGTGTCTTTATAGCAGCATGATTTATAGTCCTTTGGGTATATACCCAGTAATGGGATGGCTGGGTCAAATGGTATTTCTAGTTCTGGATCCCTGAGGAATCGCCACACTGACTTCCACAATGGTTGAACTAGCTTACAGTCCCACCAACAGTGTAAAAGTGTTCCTATTTCTCCACATCCTCTCCAGCACCTGTTGTTTCCTGCCTTTTTAATGATTGCCATTCTAACTGGTGTGAAATGGTATCTCATTGTGGTTTTGATTTGCATTTCTCTAATGACCAGTGATGGTGAGCATTTTTTCATGTGTTTTTTGGCTGCATAAATGTCTTCTTTTGAGAAGTGTCTGTTCATGTCCTTTGCCCACTTTTTGATGGGGTTGTTTGTTTTTTTCTTGTAAATTTGTTTGAGTTCATTGTAGATTCTGGATATTAGCCCTTTGTCAGATGAGTAGGTTGCAAAAATTTTCTCCCATTTTGTAGGTTGCCTGTTCACTCTGATGGTAGTTTCTTTTGCTGTGCAGAAGCTCTTTAGTTTAATGAGACCCCATTTGTCAATTTTGTCTTTTGTTGCCATTGCTTTTGGTGTTTTAGACATGAAGTCCTTGCCCATGCCTATGTCCTGAATGGTAATGCCTAGGTTTTCTTCTAGGGTTTTTATGGTATTAGGTCTAACGTTTAAGTCTTTAACCCATCTTGAATTAATTTTTGTATAAGGTGTAAGGAAGGGATCCAGTTTCAGCTTTCTACATATGGCTAGCCAGTTTTCCCAGCACCATTTATTAAATAGGGAATCCTTTCCCCATTGCTTTTCTCAGGTTTGTCAAAGATCAGATAGTTGTAGATATGCGGCGTTATTTCTGAGGGCTCTGTTCTGTTCCATTGATCTACATCTCTGTTTTGGTACCAGTACCATGCTGTTTTGGTTACTGTAGCCTTGTAGTATAGTTTGAAGTCAGGTAGTGTGATGCCTCCAGCTTTGTTCTTTTGGCTTAGGATTGACTTGGCAATGCGGGCTCTTTTTTGGTTCCACATGAACTTTAAAGTAGTTTTTTCCAATTCTGTGAAGAAAGTCATTGGTAGCTTGATGGGGCTGGTATTGAATCTATAAATTACCTTGGGCAGTGTGGCCATTTTCACAATATTGATTCTTCCTACACATGAGCATGGAATGTTCTTCCATTTGTTTGTATCCTCTTTGATTTCCTTGAGCAGTGGTTTGTAGTTCTCCTTGAAGAGGTCCTTCACATCCCTTGTAAGTTGGATTCCTAGGTATTTTATTCTCTTTGAAGCAATTGTGAATGGGAGTGCACTCCTGATTTGGCTCTCTGTTTGTCTGTTGTTGATGTATAAGAATGCTTGTGATTTTTGTACATTGATTTTGTATCCTGAGACTTTGCTGAATTTGCTTATCAGCTTAAGGAGATTTTGGGCTGAGACAATGGGGTTTTCTAGATATACAATCATGTCGTCTGCAAACAGGGACAATTTGACTTCCTCTTTTCCTAACTGAATACCCTTTATTTCCTTCTCCTGCCTAATTGCCCTGGCCAGAACTTCCAACACTATGTTGAATAGGAGTGGTGAGAGAGGGCATCCCTGCCTTGTGCCAGTTTTCAAAGGGAATGCTTCCAGTTTTTGCCCATTCAGTATGATATTGGCTGTGGGTTTGTCATAGATAGCTCTTATTATTTTGAGATACGTCCCATCAATACCTAATTTATTGAGAGTTTTTAGCATGAAGGTTGTTGAATTTTGTCAAAGGCCTTTTCTGCATCTATTGAAATAATCATGTGGTTTTTGTCTTTGGTTCTGTTTATATGCTGGATTACGTTTATTGATTTGCGTATATTGAACCAGCCTTGCATCCCAGGGATGAAGCCCACTTGATCATGGTGGATAAGCTTTTTGATGTGCTGCTGGATTCGTTTTACCAGTATTTTATGGAGGATTTTTGCATCGATGTTCATCAAAGATATTGGTCTAAAATTCTCTTTTTTGGTTGTGTCTTTGCCCGGCTTTGGTATCAGGATGATGCTGGCCTCATAAAATGACTTAGGGAGGATTCCCTCTTTTTCTATTGATTGGAATAGTTTCAGGAGGAATGGTACCAGTTCCTCCTTGTACCTCTGGTAGAATTCGGCTGTGAATCCATCTGGTCCTGGACTCTTTTTCGTTGGTAAGCTATTGATTATTGCCACAATTTCAGCTCCTGTTATTGGTCTATTCAGAGATTCAACTTCTTCCTGGTTTAGTCCTGGGAGAGTGTATGTGTCAAGGAATTTATCCATTTCTTCTAGATTTTCTAGTTTTTTGCGCAGAAGTGTTTGTAGTATTCTCTAATGCTAGTTTGTATTTCTGTGGGATCGGTGGTGATATCCCCTTTATCATTTTTTATTGGGTCTATTTGATTCTTGTCTCTTTTTTTCTTTATTAGTCTTGCTAGCAGTCTATCAATTTTGTTGATCCTTTCAAAAAACCAGCTTCTGGATTCGTTAATTTTTTGAAGGGTTTTTTGTGTCTCTATTTCCTTCAGTTCTGCTCTGATTTTAGTTATTTCTTGCCTTCTGCTAGCTTTTGAATGTGTTTGCTCTTGCTTTTCTAGTTCTTTTAATTGTGATGTTAGGGTGTCAATTTTGGATCTTTCCTGCTTTCTCTTGTGGGCATTTAGTGCTATAAATTTCCCTCTACACACTGCTTTGAATGTGTCCCAGAGATTCTGGTATGTTGTGTCTTTGTTCTCATTGGTTTCAAAGAACATCTTTATTTCTGCCTTCATTTCGTTATGTACCCAGTAGTCATTCAGGAGCAGGTTGTTCAGCTTCCATGTAGTTGAGCGGTTTTGAGTGAGATTCTTAATCCTGAGTTCTAATTTGATTGCACTGTGGTCTGAGAGACAGTTTGTTACAATTTCTGTTCTTTTACATTTGCTGAGGAGAGTGTTACTTCCAACTATGTGGTCAATTTTGGAATAGGTGTGGTGTGGTGCTGAAAAAATTGTATATTCTGTTGATTTGGGGTGGAGAGGTCTGTAGATGTCTATTAGGTCCGCTTGGTGCAGAGCTGAGTTCAATTCCTGGGTATCCTTGTTGACTTTCTGTCTCGTTGATCTGTCTAATGTTGACAGTGGGGTGTTAAAGTCTCCCATTATTAATGTGTGGGAGTCTAAGTCTCTGTGTAGGTCACTGAGGACTTGCTTTATGAATCTGGGTGCTCCTGTATTGGGTGCATATATATTTAGGATAATTAGCTCTTCTTGTTGAATTGATCCCTTCACCATTAAGTAATGGCTTTCTTTGTCTCTTTTGATCTTTGTTGGTTTAAAGTCTGTTTTATCAGAGACTAGGATTGCAACCCCTGCCTTTTTTTGTTCTCCATTTGCTTGGTAGATCTTCCTCCATCCTTTTATTTTGAGCCTATATGTGTCTCTGCCCATGAGATGGGTTTCCTGAATACAGCACACTGATGGGTCTTGACTCTTTATCCAATTTGCCAGTCTGTGTCTTTTAATTGGAGCATTTAGTCCATTTACATTTAAAGTTAATATTGTTATGTGTGAATTTGATCCTGTCATTATGATGTTAGCTGGTTATTTTGCTCGTTAGTTGATGTAGTTTCTTCCTAGTCTCGATGGTCTTTACATTTTGGCATGATTTTGTAGTGGCTGGTACCAGTTGTTCCTTTCCATGTTTAGCGCTTCCTTCAGGAGCTCTTTTAGGGCAGGCCTGGTGGTGACAAAATCTCTCAGCATTTGCTTGTCTGTAAAGTATTTTATTTCTCCTTCACTTATGAAGCTTAGTTTGGCTGGATATGAAATTCTGGGTTGAAAATTCTTTTCTTTAAGAATGTTGAATATTGGCCCCCACTCTCTTCTGGCTTGGAGAGTTTCTGCTGAGAGATCTGCTGTTAGTCTGATGGGCTTCCCTTTGAGGGTAACCTGACCTTTCTCTCTGGCTGCCCTTAACTTTTTTTCCTTCATTTCAACTTTGGTGAATCTGACAATTATGTGTCTTGATGTCGCTCTTCTCGAGGAGTATCTTTGTGGCGTTCTCTGTATTTCCTGAATCTGAATGTTGGCCTGCCTTGCTAGATTGGGGAAGTTCTCCTGGATAATATCCTGCAGAGTGTTTTCCAGCTTGGTTCCATTCTCCACGTCACTTTCAGGTACACCAATCAGATGTAGATTTGGTCTTTTCACATAGTCCCATATTTCTTGGAGGCTTTGCTTGTTTCTTTTTATTCTTTTTTCTCTAAACTTCCTTTCTCGCTTCATTTCATTCATTTCATCTTCCATCGCTGATACCCTTTCTTCCAGTTGATCGCATCGGCTCCTGAGGCTTCTGCATTCTTCACGTAGTTCTCGAGCCTTAGTTTTCAGCTCCATCAGCTCCTTTAAGCACTTCTCTGTATTGGTTATTCTAGTTATACATTCTTCTAAATTTTTTTCAAAGTTTTCAGCTTCTTTGCCTTTGGTTTGAATGTCCTCCCGTAGCTCGGAGTAATTTGATCGTCTGAAGCCTTCTTCTCTCAGCTCGTCAAAGTCATTCTCCGTCCAGCTTTGTTCCGTTGCTGGTGAGGAACTGCATTCCTTTGGAGGAGGAGAGGCGCTCTGCTTTTTAGAGTTTCCAGTTTTTCTGCTCTGCTTTTTCCCCATCTTTGTGGTTTTATCTACTTTTGGTCTTTGATGATGGTGATGTACAGATGGGTTTTTGGTGTGGATGTCCTTTCTGTTTGTTAGTTTTCTTTCTAACAGACAGGACCCTCAGCTGCAGGTCTGTTGGAGTACTGGGCCATGTGAGGTGTCAGTCTGCCCCTGCTGGGGGGTGCCTCCCAGTTAGGCTGCTTGAGGGTCAGGGGTCAGGGACCCACTTGAGGAGGCAGTCTGCCCATTCTCAGATCTCCAGCTGCGTGCTGGGAGAACCACTGCTCTCTTCAAAGCTGTCAGACAGGGACATTTAAGTCTGCAGAGGTTACTGCTGTCTTTTTGTTTGTCTGTGCCCTGCCTCCAGAGGTGGAGCCTACAGAGGCAGGCAGGCCTCCTTGAGCTGTGGTGGGCTCCACCCAGTTGGAGCTTCCCCGGCTGCTTTGTTTACCTGAGCAAGCCTGGGCAATGGCAGGCGCCCCTCCCCCAGCCTCGCTGCCACCTTGCAGTTTGATCTCAGACTGCTGTGCTAGCAATCAGCGAGACTCTGTGGGCGTAGGACCCTCCGAGCCAGGTGCAGGATATAACCTCCTGGTGGGCCGTTTTTTAAGCCTGTCAGAAAAGCGCAGTATTCGGGTGGGAGTGACCCGATTTTCCAGGTGCCGTCTGTCACCACTTCCTTTGACTAAGAAAGGGAACTCCCTGACCCCTTACGCTTCCCGAGTGAGGCAGTGCCTCACTCTGCTTCAGCTCGCGCACGGGTGCACACACCCACTGACCTGCGCCCACTGTCTGGCACTCCCTAGTGAGATGAACCTGGTACCTCAGATGGAAATGCAGAAATCACCCGTCTTCTGCGTCGCTCATGCTGGGAGCTGTAGACCGGAGCTGGTCCTATTTGGCCATCTTGGCTCCTCCCCTTATCTATTCTTCTAACATAGTTCTGTTGCATAAATTTTAAGCAAATTTTACTCTCTTTATATTTTGTTTTTATAATCTAATTTTTTAGAAGATAAAAGGAATCATGGAAATATGGCTAAAATTAAATAGCTAAGTTACCCAATCACAAATAGGTGATTTTTAGGACTTTTGTGTATTGAATTCCTACAGATCTCTGTTACTGATTATTAATTGATGTAGGCACTGAATAGGACAAACTCAATGTGACGTCTAAGATAAGAATTTTAATGTTATTACAATAAAGTTAATGAGACATAAGTTCTAAAAATATATGTAATAATGTATATAATAATACAAATCATTACCAGTTCAAACTAATCCTAGGGGAGGATTGATGTATTGCTAAGATTAGGTTTTATTTTCCTTAGGGAGTCCAAATTAGATCAGTAGATGCAGTCATCCTGAACAAGAAAATTGTGTTATAAAAGTTATAATTTAAAAGGGTGTTTCAAGAGGGAACATTTTAATTAAAATTTTAATAAAAGAGATTGGAAGCTAGAGAGTTTAATTCACACTGATACGTTATTTTAGAGTTATTTTTAACTAATGAATAACCTGTGATTATTTTTCTAAAGACATTCCAAAAACTTTTCAATTTAGTTTTAAATATATTTTATTATTCTAAAATAATGAATTACTTCGTTAAAACCAAAACAATTTTAAGTATCAGCTTGTCTTCTAATACTGAAACTCAGGACATTCACATTACTATATGTTTTTTTCTATTACCCCCTAGCTCAAAAATTTCTGTAGAAAATAGAAGTATGGGATGCCTCTTGAGAAATGAATGGTCCATTGAATTTTAATAAAAGATATCTTTTTATTTATTAAGGCTACTACTTAATCATAGTTATGACCTATCTAATTGTGGCTTGCATTATGCAAAGCATATTTATAATTTAAATAATTATATTAGTTGGTTAACTTTTGATACAGTCAAAATATTTGCCTGATACTATTTATTGGAGTTTCATCTATTATAACATATTGATGATAACACTGTGATCGAGAAAGGGTATAGGTGGGAAAGGAGACAGCTGTAGTTTGCATAAGCTCTAAGCTAAAAGAAAGACAAATGATAAAAATGTGTCTTTGTATCTCCAACATTAACTAGGGGAATTGGGACAGTTACCGGATAAATTCAGTATAGGCGACAAGAATAATTGACAAACTAGCTTAATGGAAATATTTGGAAGAATATATACATTCCAAAAATATGGCCAGACATCACTGACTTCTGTATAAGATGAAGACCTGTAAAATAGATTCTAGTTCTCAGTCTCTTACCTAGTTTTGGAGATTCCGATGTGAGACAGGGAATTATATGGAGCTCCTTTTAGCAACCACCAAAACCTATGGGAGGCCCATGGGAGCCTAAGGTTTTTGAATTCTTGCATTCCTGGGAGGCAGAAAGTGGCCTTCAGTGGAAGTCCACAAACCAAGAAGAGAGATTGAGTTGCTGTAGAGGATATTTGTTGCACTGTTTCTCCCTCCACTGTATGCACTTGAAATCAAGCCTATCCATGAGTGTGATCAGGATGGAGTTAATTGGAGCAGCAGTTGGAAAGGGTATGTCTTGTGAACTTTGATGGGCTAAGTCCTGGGCAGTCTTAAAATTTTGATGTTATAATTCAGTAAAATAAAGTGTCAAGAAAAAAGGAAAAAAGAAAAAAAGTGAAAAGACAAATAAAAGAGAAAAAAGAGAAAGAAACTAAAAAAGTGAAAAGACAAAATTGAAGAAAGAGAAACTAAAAAAGGGAAAAGACAAATAAAAGAGATGAAAGAGAAAGAATCTTGGATAAAAAGCTTGAAACCAGTGCTTTGGGGACCAGTTTGAAATCTCTCTTTCTTTTATTGTTCCAATTGTAGAGTTCTACAGAGGCGATACTGGAGCCAGGCTGGGGTGAAGCCCCAAGAACAATAATTATGCTTAGGTCTGGCAGGCTCTAGCTCTCAGCTGATAATCTAGGAAAGAAGCTATTGAAGTAGACATACTGTAATATTTCCTGGAGGACAGACAATATCTGCTGGAAGTGGGAACAGGGAGCAGGAAATCATGCACTATATCATAAGAGGCTCTTTCAATGTATATTTTCCTCCAATTTCAATACACACACATAAATTTAGTTAGCACTTGAGGCTTGGCTTACCCTGCAGATTGGTAATAAAGACAATAAAGGTATTTATAAGGAGAAAAATTCAACATGTCTGAGGAGCTTCAGCATTATGAGTGAAAGCTAACCGATAACAAAATATATCTAAGGAAGCAAAATTCATAGCTTAACACAAGATTTAAATAAATGAAAAAAGTCTTAAATAATTACAATGGAAATATGAAGGACAATGAAGCCGTTATAAAGCATAACCACTTCAACATATTGGATACAAAAAATGTTGAAATATGTAACTTAAATGGATAGATTGCATGGTAAAATAAAAGCTTTTAAAATAATGAATGAGTGATCAGATAATTTGTGGATTAATTCTTGCATAACACACCAGAAAAGGGCCAAGAGAAAGTGAATGAGGACAAAGTTAAGGTGTGAGGAAATTAAAATTTGTAACAATATTAATATCAATCACAGAGAAGGCATAAAAAGAGAAAATATATAAAATGAAGATGATTAAGGTTTTAACAAATAACATCATATAATGGAATAAAAAATCAGATCTCAGGTTCAAAGTGTTCATAACATGATATGCAGAATAGCCAATATTTGAAACAAATTCACACTCTAGAAACACTACAATACATTTTAGGAACATTAACACCGAGAACATATAGTTTTCTTAAGTTTCCAAGATAGAAAAGCAGATCACTGCAAGGGAAAAGATTCAGATTGAGATCCCACAACAGGGTAACTATAGTCAATAACTTAATTTTACATTTTAGAATAACCATTATAAAAGAGTGTAATTGTATTGTTTGTAACACAAATGATACATGCTTGAGGGGATGGACACTCCATTCTCCATGATGTGATTATTTCATAAATGCTTGAGGGGATGGACACTCCATTCTCCATGATGTGATTATTTCACATTGCATGCCTGTATCAAAACATCTCATGTATCCCACAAATATACACACTTACTATGTACTGACAAAAATTAAAAATTAAAAAACTGAATTAAATACAAACATTTCCACAGTTAGCAAAAACAATTTTTAACCTAAATTTTATATCTAGCTAATGTATAATTTAAATAGGAGAGTTAATTAAAAGTAGTTCAAATCATAAAGAATATCAGAATTTTTGTCTCACTGGGAGACAAAAGAAGCTTTTTAAAAAATAAATAAAAACAAAAGACCAACTATGGGTAATTTTATTCAAATAGGAGGAAATTTAAGTGCAGAACAAATCAATAAGTTTGGAAAACTAAGCATGACTAAAAATTCTAGTAAAGTTAATTGTCCAGATAAGTAATCATCACAGTTTTTAGAGTATTTATTGTTGTTTTAAATCATAATTTGATTTTTATAATATTGCCTTGTCTCAGATGAGACTTTGGACTGTGGACTTTTGGGTTAATGCTAAAATGAGTTAAGGCTGTGGGCTGGATGCAGTGGCTCACACCTGTAATCCCAGCACTTTGGGAGGCCTAGGCTGGTGGATTTCCTGAGCTCAGGAGTTCAAGACCAGCCTGGGCAACAGGGTGAAACCCCATCTCTACTAAAATATAAAAAATCAGCCAGGTGTGGCAGTATGCTCCTGTAGTCCCAGCTACTAGAGAGGCTGAAGCAGGAGAATTGCTTAAACACAGGAGGCAGAGGTTGCAGTGAGCCAAGATCACGGCACTGCACTCCAGCCTGGGTGACAGAGCGAGACTGTCTCCAAAAAAACAAAACAAAACAAAACAAAAACTGGGGAGGCATGGTTGGTTTGGTTTGGAAATGTGAGCACATGAAATTTGGAGGGGCCGGGGTGGAGTGATATGTTTTGGCTGTGTCTTCAGCAAATCTCAACTTGAATTGTATCTCCCAGAATTCCTACGTGTTGTTGGGGGGACCCATGGGGAGGTAATTGAATCATGGGGGCCGTTCTTTCCCATTCTATTCTCACAATAGTAAATAAGTCTTACGCGATCTGTTGGGTTTATCAAGGGTTTCCACTTTTGCTTCTTCCTCATTTTCTCTTGCTGCTGACACATAAGAAGTGCCTTTCGCCTCCCGCCATGATTCTGAGGCCTCCCCAGCCATGTGGAACTGTAAGTCCAATTAAACCTCTTTTTCTTCCCAGTCTTGGGTAGGTGTTTATCAGTAGCATGAAAATAGACTAATACAGGCATATTTCAGACACACTTTGTTTTTTTCAAATTTTAACTTCTCTGAAATCAGGACGCGCCTGGCAATGAAGTGAGTTACAGATATGAATAGAATCTACTATTCATTCTAGTAAGAAGACATGGAAAATTTTGTTCAATTTGTCTTGGTTTCACTTTTCTGTTGGCAATATATGTAAAATATACCTTTCATTATCCTATGTACAGAATTCTGGGTGCTGAGATGACCAATAATCTATATTAATATAAGCAAATTTAATCAATTATTTTAGGAACAAAATAGACTAATCCTTTAGTAAGTATGAATACTTACTTTTAATGAAACAATTAATATCCCATTTAAAGCTATTAATGTAAAGTTTTAAAAAAAATTTGCATTCTAAAAAATTTTTATTTTTTTTTAAATTAACGCCTTAGGATTTATTTTAGATTGCCATTGATAGCTCATTAGTCTTTTTAAAGCATCATTTATTCCTTTGCTCTGTCTTTTTTTAAGCTTTTATTTTAGGTTCAGGAGTGCATGTGCAGGTTTGTTATATAGGTAAATTGCATGTCATGGAGTTTTGCAGTACAGATTATTTTATCACCCAGGTAATAAGCATGATGCCCAATAGGTGGCTTTTCATTCTTCACCTTCTTCCAACCCTCCACCCTTAAGTAGGCCTCAGTGTTTCTTGTTCCCTTCTTTGTTCCATGAGTACTCAATGTTTAGATCCCACTTCAAAGTGAGAGCCTGCAGTATTTGTTTTTCTGTTCCTGCATTAGTTTGCTTAGGATAATGGCCTCTAGCTCCATCCACATTGCTATAAAGGCAGCTAGAAAGAAGGGGCAGGTCACCTACACAGGGACCTTATGCTAACAGCAGAACCTTCAGCAGAAACCCTACATGCCAGAAGAGATTGGGAGCCTAGTCAACATTCTTAAAAAAAGAAGTTCCAACCAAGAATTTCACATCCAGACAAACTAAACTTCGTAAGCAAAGGAGAAATAAGATCCTTTTCAGACAAGAAAATGTTAAGAAAATTTGTTACCACTATATTTGCCTTACAAGAGGTCCTTAAAAATTGAAAAATAACTTCTATATGCCTGCATAATTGTCTTGCAATAGACAGGAGTCTTATTTTCCTTTTTGACTTTGTGTTTTTACAGAGCTCAAAACTTTCAGTAGGACAGCCAGGCGCGGTGGCTGATGCCTGTAATCCCAGCACTTTGGGAGGCCGAGGTGGGCGGATCACGAGGTCAGGAGATCAAGACCATCCTGGCTAACACGGTGAAACCCTGTCTCTACTAAAAATATAAAAAATTAGCTGGGCGTGCTGGCGGGCACCTGTAATTCCAGCTACTCGGGAGGCAGAGGCAGGAGAATGGCATGAACCCGGGAGGCGGAGCTTGCAGTGAGCTGAGATCATGTCACTGCACTCCAGCCTGGGTGATGGAGCAAGACTCCATCTCAAAAAAAAAAAAAGAAAAGCTTTCAGTAGGACATAAAAGATTATGACTAGGGCAACCAATTACTGAGTTTTCATAAAACAAATCTTTTCATTAGTCTAGGGTTAATGTTTAATTACAGTTGTAATATATCCAATAGCAGTCTCCATAATAAAAACCATGTTTTATACTTTTTAATAATTTTATAATGTTTACATGCATAAACATTTTATGTTTTATAATTAATCATATTTAATTGATTTTCAATATCTTTAAAGTTTTGCAGTGTAATCTACTATGTGGTTTAATCTATAATAATATGCTGAAAATAACACTGCCACAGAGAAGGGGTAGAGGCTGGAGTTGAGAGGGTTGTAGTCTGTTTCCTCCCCCTGACAGTAATCCTGGCATATGCCATGAGATTTCTGTGCTGCTGAAATACTCCATGATTGAAAGGCTGTGGTCATAAAGAGGGGAGTGGGAAATATTAGTTTGTCTCACATTTTTGAGATATGTGAGCTATGTACCATATTAATCACATTTGGATTCTGATATGGGTTGGCTGTGTCCCCACCCAAATCTCATCTTGCATTATAGCTCCCAAAATTCCCACATGTCATGGCAGGGATCCATTGGGAGGTAATTGAATCATGGGGTTGGTTCTTTCCCATGTTGTTCTCGTGACAGTGAATAAGTCTCACAAGATTTGATGGTTTCATAAAGGGAAGTTCCCCTGCACAGGCTCTTTTTGCCTGCCACCATGCAAGAGGTGACTTTGCTCCTCCTTTGCCTTCCACCATGATTGTGAGGTGTCCCTGGCCATGTGGAACTTTGAGCCATTTAAACCTCTTTCCTTTATAAATTACCCAGTCTCGGGTATGTCTTTATTAGCAGTGTGAGAACACACTAATACACGTTCTCACAAATTATTTTAATTTTTGAAGCAACTTGAATCTTTCTCTTATGGGGGAGGTAATTTGTACCCAGATCAATCAAAGAAATCACTGTCTATGGCAGCTATAGCTTTACAAAATGTATTTCTTAAATAATAAGACTTGAAAATTAAAATTACTCCTTGATCCATGGGTTGCAGAATTGGTGTTGTGTTAGTAGGCATGAAAACAGTATTAATCTCCTTGTACAACTCCATCAGAGCTCTTGGGTAACCAGGTGCATTGTCAATGACCAGTAACATTTTGAAAGCAATATTATTTTGTCAGTATTCCGTCTCAACAGTGGGCTTAAAATATTCAGAAAAATATGCAGTAAAAAAATGTTCTGGGCTGGGTGCGGTGGCTCATGCCTGTAATCCCAGCACTTTGGGAGGCCGAGGCAGTTGAATCATGAGGTCAGGAGTTCCAGACCAGCCTGGCCAACATGGTGAAACCCTGTCTCTACTAAAAATACAAAAATTAGCTGGGCGTGGTGGCGTGTGCCTGTAATCCCAGGTACTCGGAAGGCTGAGGCAGGAGAATCGTTGGAACCCAGGAGGCGGAAGTTGCAGTGAGCTGAGATCGCGCCACTTCACTCCAGCCTGGGCGACAGAGCAATACTCCGTCTTGAAAAAAAAAAATATTCTGGAAGACAGCTGCTTAGAAGCAGCTGTAGTCTGCAGCTCTCATGGAGAAGAATGAAAATTTCGAGTGAATTCTACACCTTCAACTGAGGTAACTGGGTTAACCAGGTTCTGGCTTTGGGACTGACTAGGTGGTCACATGATCCACAGAGAGTGAGGAAAAGTAGGGTGGGGTGATGGTCCACCCAGGAGTGTCATGGAATCAGGGGAACCCCTACCCCTAGCTAAGGGAGGTGGTGAGTGATTGTTTGACCCGGGCCAGGAAACCACATGTTTCTCATGGATCTTTTCAGCCCGTGGATGAAGAGATCCCCTTGTGAGCCCATACCACCAGGGCATTAGGTCCAAAGCACAGAGCTGGGCAGACTCTTGGCAGTTGCTCAGGCACACACAGAGACCCAGGAATTTTTGCAAACTCAGGCCCCTGGAATTCTGGTGAGGCAGATCTGTCCATTTCCCTAGGAAAGGGGCTGAAGTCTGGGAGCCAAGTGGCGTTGTTCAGCAGGCCCTGCTCCCAAGTTAAGACCCACTGGCTTGGAATTCCAGCTGGCCAGAGGCAGCAGGCTGGATACTGCATGAGATGTTCGAGTTCCCTGGAGGAGGGGCAGCTGCTATCTTTGCAGCCTGAGTTTGCTGTTTTGGCCTGCCAGCTCCAGGGAGTCTGGGTGGTCCAAACCAGGAGCAATTCCCCAGAGCAGAGCGCAGCTGCTGTGGCAGATCATGGCCAGACTGCTTCTTTTTTTTGTTGTTGTTGGAGTCTCACTCTGTTGCCCAGGCTGGAGTGCAGTGGCACTATCTTGGCTCACTGCAACTTCCACTTCCAGGATTCAAGCCATTCTTCTGCTTCAGCCTCCCGAGTAGCTGGGACTACAGGTGCCCGCCACCACACCCAGCTAATTTTTGTATTTTTAATAGAGACAGGGTTTCACCATATTGGCCAGGCTGGTCTTGAACTCCTGACCTTGTGATCCACCCACCTTGGCCTCCCAAAGTGGTGGAATTACAGGCGTGAGCCACCACGCCAGGCCCAGACTGCTTCTTTAAGTGAGACCCCAATCCATCCCTCCTCAATGGGCAGGGCCTCCCTTCAATAATTTTAGTAACTCCAGCCAATGTTTCATGGAAAGAACTCTGATCTTTCTCGGTGGAGTCCCTCAGGGGAGGGGTGGCCGTGGTCTTCACAGTTCAGTGACTTACCCTTTCCTGACTGCTGGATCTGGAGAGTTCAGGTGGTCTGGAGGAGGGGGCTTTCCCCCAGCGCAGCATACCTACTCCACCAATGGGCTGCCAGACTGCTTCTTTAAGTGGGTCCCTGATCTCATGCTTTCTGACTGAGTGAGACCTCCCAACAGGGATCTCCAGGCACTTCTTGTAATAGCATTCGGGGCGGCATCGGATGGTGCCCCTCTGAGATGGAGCTCTGGGAGGAAGGAACAGGCTGCCATCTGTACTCTTTTGCAGCTTCACTGGTAATACCTCCAGGTGCAGGGGATACCCGGGTGATTAAAGCCTGGAGTGGGCCCCCAGCCAACCACAGCAACCCTACAGAAGAGGCAGAAGAGAAGTCTGACTGCTAAAAGAAAAACAAACAAATAGAAATCAACAATAGCAGCATCAACAAAAAAGACACCACAAAAACCCCATTCAAAGGTCAGCAACCTTAAAGATCAAAGACAGATAAGCCCACAAAGATGAGAAAGAATCAATATAAAAATGCTGAAAATTCAAAAAGCCAGAGTGCCTCTTCTCCTCCAGATGATCACAGCACCTCTTCAGCAAGGGCACAGAACTAGGCTGAGGCTGAGATGGCTGAATTGACAGAAATAGGCTTCAGACTGTGGGTAATAATGAACTTCACTGGGCTAAAGGAGCATGTTCTAACCCAATGGAAAGAAGCTAATAATAATGATATAAAATTACAGGAGATGATAACCAGAATAGCCAGTTTAGGGAGGAATATAAATGACCTGATGGAGCAGAAAAACACAACAAAACTTCCCAGTGCAATCATAAGTATCAACAGCCAAATAGGCCAGGTGGAGGAAAGAATCTCAGAGCTTGAAGACTGTCTTTCTGAAATAAGACAAGCAGAAAAGAATAGAGAAAAAAGAATGAAAAGACATGAACAAAACCTCTGAGAAATATGAGATTATGTAAAAAAAAAAAAAAAAAAAAAAACCTATGACTGATTGGAGTACCTGAAAGAGACGGGGAGAACAAAACCAAGTTGGAAAACATACTTCAGGATATCATCCAGGAGGACTTCAACCTAGCAAGACAGGCCAACATTCAAATTCAGGAAATCCAGAGAAGTCCGGTAAGATACTCCATGAGATCAACCCCAAGACACCTAATTCTCAGATTCTCCACGGTTGAAATGAAAGAAAAAATGTTAAGGGCAGCCAAAGAGAAAGGCTAGGTCACCTACAAACGGAAACCCATCAGACTAACAGCAGACCTCTCAGCAGAAACTCTGTAAGCCAGAAGAGATTGGGGGCCAATATTCAACATTCTGAAGTAAAAGAATGTCCAACCCAGAATTTTGTGTCTGGCCAAACTAAGCTTCCTAAGTGAAGGAGAAATAAGATTGTTTTCAGACAAGCAAATGCTGAGGAAGTCCATCACCACCAGGCCTGCCTTGTAAGAGCTCCTGAAGGAAGCACTAAATATGGAATAGAAAAACTGTTACCATCCACTACAAAAACACACTGAAGTACACAGACAATGACACTATGAAGCAACTGCATAAATAAGTCTGCAAAATAACCAGCTAGCATCATGGTGACAGGAACAAATTAACACATAACAATACTAACCTTGTATGTAAATGGGCTAAATGCCACAATTAAAAGACACAGAATGGCAAACTGGATAAACAGTCAAGACCCATCAGTGCGATGTATTCAAGAGACCCATCTCACCTCATGTGCAAACACACACAAAGGCTCAAAATAAAGGGATGGAGGAGAATTTAGGAAGCAAATGGAAAACAGAAAAAAGCAGGGGTTGCAATCCTAATTTCTGACAAAACAGACTTTAAACCAACAAAATTCAAAAAAGACAAAGAAGAGCACTACATAATGGTAATGGGTTCAATTCATCAAGAAGAGCTAACTATCCTAAATATATATGCACCCAACACATAAGCACCCAGACTCACAGAGCAAGTCCCTAGAGACTTTCAAAGAGACTTAGACTTCTACACAATAATAGTGGGAGCCTTTGATACCCCACTGACAATATTAGACAGATCATTGGGACAGAAAATTAACAAAGATATTCAGGACCTGAATTCAGTTCTGGATTAAGTGCACCTGATAGATATCTACAGAACTCTCCACCCAAATTCAACAGAATATACGTTTTCTCATTGCCACATGGCACTTACTCTAAAATTGATCACATAATTGGAAGCAAAACACTTCTCAGCAAATGCAAAAGAACTAAAATCATAACAGCCTCTCAGACCACAGCACAATCAAATTAGAAACTCACTGAAAACCACACAACTACGTAGAAATTGAACAACCTTCTCTTGAAATACAAATGGGCAGTCATTAACCCTTAAAGTTTCAAAATGATTTCCTTTGACTCCATGTCTCACATCCAGGTCATGCTGATTCAAGAGGTGGGCTTCCATGGCCTTGGGCAGCTCTGCCCCTGTGACTTTGCAGGGTACATCCCCTCTCCCAGCCGCTTTCACGAGCTCACATTGAGTGTCTGCACATGCTCTCTTGCCTGCCACCATATAAGATATGCCCTTGCTCCTCCTTGGCCTTCTGCAATAATTGTGAGGCCTTCTCAGTCATGTGGAACTGAGTCCATTAAACCTCTTTTTCTTTATAAATTACCCAGTTTGAATATTTCTTCGTAGCAGTATGAAAATGGACTAGTACACATACCTCAAAATAATAACAGCCATATATGACAAAACCACAGCCAATATCATACTGAGTGGGCAAAAGCTGGAGGCATTCCTCTTGAAAACTGGCACAAGGCATGGATGCCCTCTCTCACCACTCCTATTCAACATAGTTTTGAAAGTTCAGGCCAGGGCAATCTGGCAAGGGAAGGAAATAAAGCATATTCAAATGGAAAGAAAGACAGTCAAATTATCTTTGCAGATGACATGATCCTATATCTAGGAAACCCTATTGTCTCAGCCCAAAAGCTTCTTAAGCTGATAAGGAAATTCAGCAGTCCCAGGATACAAAATCAATGTGCAAAAATTGCTGCCATTCCTATACACATCAAGAACAGGCAAGCGGAGAGCCAAATCATAAATGAGCTCCCATTTACAATTGCTACAAAGAGAATAAAATACCTAGGAATACAGCTAACATGGGAAGTGAAGGACCTCTTCAAGGAGAACTACAAACCACTGCTCTGGGAAATCAGAGAGGACACAAACAAATGGAAAATCATTTTATGCTCATGGATAAAAAGAAACAGTATCATGAAAATGGCCATACTGCCCAAAGTAATTTATAGATTAAATGTTATTCCCATTTAACTACCATTTTACATTCTTCACAGAATTAGAAATAAACTATGGAACCGAAAAAGAGCTCATATAGCCAAGATAATCCTAAGCAAAAAGAACAAAGCTGGAGGCATCATGCTACCCAACTTCAAACTATACTACAAGGCTACAGTAACCAAAACAGCATGGTATCAGTACAAAAACAGACACATAGACCAATGGAACAGAATAGAGAACTCAGAAATAAGACTGCACATCTACTACCATCTGATTTTTAACAAACCTGACAAAATTAAGCAATAGGGAAATAATTCCCTATTTAATAAATGGTGCTGGGAGAACAGGATAGCCATATGCAGGAAATTGAAACTAGATCCCTTCCTTACACCTTATGCAAAAATTAACTCAAGATGATTTAAAGACTTAAATGTAAAACCCAAAACTATAAAAATCCTAGAAAAAAATCTATTTCATTTACATCATTCAGAACATAGGCATGGGCAAAGATTTTATGATGAAAATGCTAAAAACAATTGCGACAAAAGCAAAAATTGACACGTGGGATCTAATTAAACTAAAGAGCTTCTGCACAGGAAAATAAACTATAATTAGAGTGAGCAGACAACTTATAGAATGGGGGAAACTTTTTGCAATTTATCCATCTAACAAACGTCTAATATTCAGAGTCTACAAGGAAGTTAGACAAATGCAAAAGAAAAAGACAAACAACCCCATTAAATAGTGAGCAAAGGACATGAACAGATACTTCTCAAAAGAAGATATTCATGTGGCCAACAAACATATATAAGAAAAGCCCAACATCAATCATCCTTAGAGAAATGCAAATTCAAACCACAATGAAATACCATGTCACACCAGTCAGAATGGTGATTATTAAAAAGTGAAGAAACAACAGATGCTGGTGAGATTGCAGAGAAAAAGGAATGCTTTTACACTGTTGGTGGGAGTGTAAATTAGTGAAACCATTGTGTAAGACAGTGTGGCAATTCCTCAGTGATTTAGAAGCAGAATTACCATTTGTCCCAGCAATCCCACTACTTGGTATATACCCAAAGGAATATATGTCATTCTGTCATAAAGATACTTGCACACATATGTTTCTTACAGCACTATTCACAATAGCAAAGACATGGAATCAACCCAAATGCCCATCGATGATAGCTTGGAGAAAGAAAATGTGGTACATATATAGCATGGAATACTATGCAGCCACAAAAGGAATGAGATCATGTCTTTTGCAGAGACATGGATGGAGCTGGAAGCTGTTATCCTCAGCAAACTAATGCATGAACAGAAAACCAAACACCACATATTCTCACTTATAAGTGGGACCTGAATGATGAGAACACATGGACACATGAAGGGGAGCAACACACACTGAGGTCTTGTTGGGGGCGGTGAGAGGAGTGAGAGCATCAAGAAGAATAGCTAATAGATACTGGCCTTAATACCTAGGTGATGGGTTCATCTATGCAGCAAACTACCATGGCACATGTTTACCTATGTTACAAACCTGCACATCCTGCACATGTACCCTGGAACTTAAAATAAAAGTTGAAGAAAAAAAATGTTCTGCCATCCAGGCTTTGTTATTTCATTTATATGATACAGGCAGATTAGATTTATTATAATTTTTAAGGGCCTTAGGATTTTTGGAATGGTCAATGAGCAATGACTGAAGTTGAAACTTAAAGTCACTATGTGTATGAGCCCCTAACAAAGGAGTCAGCTTGTTCTCCGAGGCTTTGAAGCCAGACATTGACTTCTCCTCTGTAGCTATGAAATTCCTAGATGGCATATTCTTCCAATACAAAGTTGTGTTGTGTATATTGAAAATCTGTTGTTCAATTGGATACACACAAACTCAAAGGTGGGAACAATAAACACTGGGGATCCCAGAAAAGGGAAGGTGGGAGAGGGCATGGTTGAACAACTGCCTATCAGATGTTATTCTCACTACTTGGGCGATGGGATCATTAGAAGCTCAAAACTCAATATCATGCAATATAACCATGTAAGAAACCTGCACATGTACCCTCCGAATCTAAAATAAAATAAAATGAAAGAAAAATCTGTTGATTAGTGTAGCCCCCTGTATTAATTATCTTTTTTTTTTTCTTTTTTTGAGACAGATTCTTGTGCTGTCACTCAGGCTGGAGTGCAACGTTGAAATCTCGGCTCACTGCAACTTCTGCCTCCCGGATTCAGGCAATTCTTGTGTCTCAGCCTCCTAAGAAGCTGAGATTACAGGTGTGTACCACCACACCTGGATAATTTTTGTATTTTCAGTAGAGATGGGGCTTTGCCATGTTGTCCAGGCTGATCTTGAACTCCTTGCCTCAAGCAGTCTGCCCACCCCAGCTTCCAAAAGTGCTGGGATTATAGGTGTGAGCCACCACGGCCTGCCAGCATTAATTATCTTAGATCTGGATAACTTGCTGCAGCTTCTCCATCAACATTTGCTCTTTCACTTTGTACTTTTGTTTTATGAAGATGGCTTCTTTCCTTAAACCTCCTGGAGCAACTTCTGCTACCTTCAAACTTTTCTTCTGCAACTTCCTCCTCTCTCTCAGCCTTCATAAAATCGAAGAGGGTTAGGGCCGTGCTCTGGATTAGGCTTTGCTTAAGGAAATGTGGCTGGTTTGATCTATGCAGACTACTAAAACTTTTTCCATATTAGCTATAAGGCTGTTTTGCTTTTTTATTATTCATGTGTTCATTAGAGTAGCACTTTTAATTTCCTTCAAGAACTTTTCGTTTGCATTCACAACTTGCTAACTGGCACAAGAGGCCTAACTTTTGACCTATCTCAGCTGTCAACCTGCCTTCCTCACTAAGCTTACTCATTTTAGCCTTTTGATATAAAGTGAGAGACTTGTAACTCTTCCTTGTGTTTGAATACTTAGAGAATATTGTAGTGTTGTGACTTGGCCTAATTTCAATATTGTTCTGTGGAAATAGGGAGGTCCAAGGAGAAGAAGATATATGGGAACTGCCTATTGTTGGAGCAGTCACAACACACATAACATATATTAATTAAGTTTGCATCTTATATGGGTGTGGTCCATGGCACCTCAAAACTATTACAATAGTGACATCAGGGATCACTGGTCACTGTAACAAGTACAATAATAATGAAACAGTTGAAAATATTTTGAGAATTACAGTGTTGTGAGAATGTGGCACAGAGATGTGAAGGGAGCACATACTGTTTGGAAATGGTCCTAAGAGACTTATTTGATGCAGGACTACCAAAATCTTTAATTTGTTAAAAAAAAAAAAGCAGTATCTGTATAACACAATAAAGTGAAGTGCAGTAAAACAAGGTATGCTTGTATTTATACCCTTATGTTCATAGCAGCATAATTTGCGATAGCCAAAGGTGAAAACAACCCAAACGTTCATTGACAGCTGAATGTATAAACCAAACGTGCTATATACACACAATGGAATATTATTCAGCCTTCAGAATAAATGACTTTCCAACACATTAAAACATGGATGAACACGGATTGAAGATATTATGCTGAGGGAAATAAGTCAGTTACAAAAGGACAAGCACTATATGAGTACACTTATATGAGGTACCTAGAGTAGTCAAATTGTTAAAAACAAAAAGTGAAATAGAAAAAAAAAACAAATTGATAGAAACAAAAAGGTCTCCAGGAGCTTAGGAAAGGGAAAATGAGCAGTTATTGTTTAATGTGCATAGTTCCAGTTTAGGAAGATGAAAAAGCTCTGTAGATAGTGAGATGGTTGCAAAATAGTATCAATGTACTTTATGTTCCTGATCACTAATGCTACATAACTAAAAAATGATAAAATGGTAAATTTTATGGGAATTCCTCTATTGGAAAAGAGGCAGAAGCTGTTGTTTTTATTATTTACATACATTACAAATGTAACTTAAAAATGAGATTGATTTTGTGGCTTCTTGAGAAACCAAATGAATAAAAATGGAACTAAGGGGTGTCAATGATAAACACAGCCAAACATTAGGTAAATTGTTGAGAAAAATACTTTAGTTGGTAATAACTATTGCAGTAGGGAAAAAAATCCAATGTGAACTTAAGTCAACTTAGATTCATACAGAATGACTGGGCATTTTAAAGGGAGGATGAGGAAATAGGGAGAGGGTGAGTGGAAGCTCAATAGTGCCAAGGAAAGAAAAAAAAATTTAAAAGTGAGGAGTTTGTCCACGGGAAACACACCTGGGTTTGCTAACTGGCACTAACTGGCACTTGTGGGAATTAGGCTGCTCTTTTCCCACAGACACTGAGACAGGGGCCCTAATCGTCAGGTGTTGGCTGAAACAAACTTTTGATGATCTTGAGTTTTTTCAGGAAGGCACTTTAAGAAAGGCTAATATCATCCTATGTATGCAGCCTTGAACTGTTTGAAATGATCGAAGTGTTTGTTCAAGTGTTTATAGGCCAAAATTGGCAGGTATATTCAAGAAATAGGCTCCTCTGAGACAGGCTAGAGTTTGGTAAAAGAGAATCTTTTTTAGAGGTTAAGCATCTTCTATAAGTCATATATTAAGGAAATTACACTTCCTTGGGATCTGAATTATAAGGGGAACTCAGTAGGTCAAGTGTAAGTTTGTAATAAGCCAGTAGAATGATTACAGTTTTTCTCATTTTTCTGGTCACACATGCTTACAGTCACTTAAAAATACAGGTATTTGCCATCACACAGGCTTACCTTTTTATAAGGGTTAGCTGCTATATCTTTATCCAAGAATGTCCATTCCCTCCTCTGAAAATTTTTAGACTCATTGTACCAGCCTTCAATTACATTTGATCATGAGACAGGATAAGATGACAATTGTATATTTCCTTGACATTTACTATCTGAAAAAAGGAAATAGGGCTGGGCCGTACCCTACAAGAATATTTTTCTCATTTTTATTTTACAAATGCTTCACTGATCATCTAGGCAACATCTAGAGGGGGTAAACTCAGTTATATCCCTGTTGGCAATCTTCTTTCTTTCTCATTGATAAATAAGTATGTGGTGCCCAGGTTCAGTGATAAGTTGATAGCAGGAGATGATAAACAAGCGTTGAAATCAGATCAACCAACCTTTCAGTCTCTGTCTCTTTCAAGCTAATGGAGATGAGTGAAACCAAATCAGAGAAGCTTAAGTATTGTAACAGGGTCCATGGCTACTCTGAAGCCATTCTATTCATTATGTAAGGACCATGAAATAAGCATCTGTTCTATTTAACCATCCACCTATGGTGTGGGCTTTTCATCCAGCATGGTATTTAGGAATGATCTTCCTTTCTGTGGGCCAGGGAAGATGCAAATTGTCAACTTATTGAACCCAGTCCCACATTGTTTCCCAGGGCCACAGTTTTTCAGTCAAATACTCATCCACCACTCCACCTCCACCTCCTCCCACATCTCAGGCACTTTTTGGTAGAGTGGCCATGTCTTCCAGTTCAGAGTGTCCCAAGGTATGTGAAAACTAAATCCAGGAGGTCTACCTAATGATAGACTTGCCTTTCTCTACACAATATCTGAGTTCCTTCTCTGAAAAACACCCTGCTACCTACACCAAGGAAATTAATACGGCTAAGGAAAACACATGACAGTGTATTCATTTCTTGTCTTTACAACAACCACCAACAGTAGCCAACTCAGCTTATAGTGTTGCTTCTCTGTGATAGGCAACATAAGTCTTCAAAAGGCCATTCAGATTTCTGCCCCATTTTAAGAGAATATGAATTTAAGTAATTCAAAAGCCTGACATTCTGTCACAAGGGATTGTGAGGAGAAGACAAGAAAGAGAAAGAAAGTTAAAAAAAAAGAACTATTATTTCCTGCCCTACCTGTTCATCCCTATCTCTGGTAGTTTCCATCCTCAATGGGGTAGTGAGCTTTAGAAATATCTAGATAGATATGGAAGCAGCTAGAAAATTGGCGGTATTTGTATACTTTCCTCAGAGAATAAGAAAGAGTAAGAAAACTTTGAGGGAAGACTTGAGTTAATGTTTTACAATGTGTCCTTGGTAAAGAAATAAATCAAACTGCTAGAGCCCATGTCCTTTAATATGGCTTGGGTTAATAACTTTTCAGATACCGTAGAAATGGCACACAAAATTGCTAAGGGTGCTCAAGAGTAAACAAGAGGTAGAGAAAATCCAAGATAACAGTATTTTATTTTAATTTGCAAAGACAGATTTTAAAAAGTATTGTACTGCATTAGACCAAATTTGCTCCATTGAATTCAAATTTATTTTATTTTTTTTTCAAATTTTTTTTCTCCACTATTTAACAACAAGACTAGTGAGGAAAGTTAGCTCAATTCATAGAAAATAAACAAATCAATATTTTCCCTACACTTTTCAGTGTAATGTTAGCCATTTGGTGATCTGCAGAGTCAGTTTGATAGGGCTGTGTTGGGCTGTGCCCACAGTGGAAACCTTAGCCACCACCACCTACTACTGATGAAAAGCACCAGCCAGTCCTCTTAGTTCCTGCACCCAATGTTGCTTTCTAAAGAGCTACTTTTAAGAGCTACTTTCTTTAAGAGCTACTTTTACTTGCTATGTATTTTTAAGGTGGATGTGTGATAAAATAAGGTCATATATGTGTCTATATACAAGTAGTACACTTGAGAAATAAAAACAATTCTTGACGAGTTACAAATGCTAAAGCGTACAATATGGTGGAATCCTTTTGTCATAAGAGTTTTGGAGAATAGCTAAAAGAGCTTAGTTTTATTCAGTTTTGCTACTGAAAATTAATTTGTCAATGATATTGCTCAAAGATTACCAATAATCTATAGATATAGAAGTCCCATTAGTACTTTTTATTATTTTATAATAAAATATTCTTGTAGATATTTTTAATATCCACTTGTGTAGAAAGTACTAATGGCTTTTCTGAAAACTAGCAGTGAACCTAATTTACATGGTTATCGTATTGCCATGAGATGGGCTCACCTTTGACCCCTTAAAAATGTTCTTATGGGCAGATCAGAAGAATTGCCTATCGACAATTCCTAAAGCTAAAGAAATCCTAGCGGTAATATATTGTGGGTAGCTGAGACAACTGCATTGAGTGGAAACCATCTAAGCATCTAGCTGCCTGTCCAGTCATTATTGCATTGCTCAAATATTCTATAATTTTTAGAGCTTTGATTCCCTTATCCTTGGTGACCTGAATTTGGAACCTATAAATGTGAATATTCAAATTAAATAATAATAATAATAAAACCTGTGTATTAGACCATATTTCACTGTCAAGTATGGGTACATATGCAAATACAGACTGTATGATGTAACCTCATCTTGCCAGGAAATTAACAACCTCTGGAGAGTTTTGAGCACATTGGGCCATACAGAGCCGCTACATATCCCTGCTTGCAATTTTCCACTCCTGTTCTTTGATCTGTATCAGTTTACACTGCTTTGACATCATTTTGGCCTTTTGCGCAGCATCTTTACTCCAGTTCTATAGAGGAAGAGTAAATATCAAACTCATGATCTTATTAAAATTTCCATGATAAGTCTAGGTTATTTTTTAAAACCACATCTAGCAATATCCTCAACTTATAAGCTAAAAATTTAAATAATGAAATTACTCTTTTATTTATGGTAGAAAAAATAAAACATAGTTCGTTAAATTCACAAATTCAAAATTTGATAATAACAATCAGATTAGCCTCTCTTTCTGATGTAGTAAAGACTTAAGGAAATGCTTTCAGTAGATCTACCAAGATAGAAATCCATCACATTATTTATTTGTAGTTTTACCTCTGACACATTATTTTATCTCGATATCTCAGTTTCTTTGACTCATAGTTCATATTAAAACATTTGTTCCAAAGGCTTAATGTGATAATCAATGCCATATAATTATTATATGGCAAATCCTGAACTATGTCCTGAATTAATAAATGATAACTATGATTGGAAAGCAGTATAGTATTGGGCATCTATATTTAAAATTGTGAATAATAAAAATTAATAGGTAACACAACACACTAGAATCTGTTTTTAAGTCTGCAAATATTTTTTCTTACTTTTTCCTCACAGCAACTCCAAAATGGAAGTACTATTGTTATCTCCGTTTACAAATTAGGAAACTGAGGCACAGATATGCTCTTGGGTACTTGTCAGCAGCAGTTGTTCTACAAGTAAGGTGAAAAGTAGAACCTCTTTATCACTAGGTATTGGATAAATAATTTCCCTAAGATTGTTTCATCCTCTCATTCTCTACATCGATTTAAAGGACTGCCACTATATTCACATGCAAAACATTGCCAAAAAAAAGTGTGAACATTGTTTTTTCAATAGGCTTTTATGTAAGTTATTTAGCTACACATTAGAATAATTTTAGAATGACAACCTAACTTAGAATTTCAGTATTTTCTCTTTTAGTGGAAGAAGTCTTAATTATGATATGTGTGTGCTGCCATCTGATGATAACTTTCTAGGACATTTCATGTTAATGAATTAACTAAACTACAGGATGAATGAAATAATTCATTAGCCTGACACTGTGTAAAGACATGCTTGTCAGGTTTTAATTTCTTCATGCAAGAAAAGACACATTTGTTACAGCCTATGTCTAAGGAACAGAGATACAACACCATATTCACTTCTCCCAGGGTAGGGAATATTGTCGCACTTGTTAATAAAGATAACTTTCCTATTACGACCAGGTTACCATATACTTAGAACAGGAACTTACCTAGTTAAATCCCAACTGACTGCTTGTTATGGATGCAGTGCATCATCATTCTGAAGGGCATATTCGCCCAGCAGCTGGGAGTCCTGCCCAGAAGCAGCTCTACAGTCTGCCCTTTCTGAAAGTTGCCATAATCCCTTTGCTGGGCAAGCCCACTTGGAGAGTTGGTAGACGTACATTTCAGGCTTATAATACTTTCTAATGTCTCCTTTGTACTCATCTTAACTCCCCAGGAATAAGGTTTCTAAAACCTTATTTTTAAATAAAAAAAATGAGAAAACTTATTTTTAAATGAGCTCATGTAAGGCTACATTTTTTATTGATTCTTCAATCTTGTTAGTACTAACTAGGCACACTTACTTGCTCATCTGGCAGCCAAGGAGTTTGGACCCCATTTGTCCTAAGGAAGAAAAGTGGTTAAGAGCAGAATACCTGTAGCTGGCCCACTTCCATTGGAATATGGGCTCCAATGCTTATAACTGGATAAGGTGCTTAATTTTTCTGAATGTTAGTGTCATTATCTGTAAAATGGAGATGGTAGTATTATCTACCTTACAGGATTATTGGAAGAATTAAATGAGTCATTGTAAGAAGGTACTAGAAAATTGCCTGTCAATAATAAGCACCATATGCGTGTTAGTTAAAACCCTTCCAACAGGGGAGTGCTTATGATAGCTATTGATTTGTATTGTTTTGTTCAAATGACATTTTGAATTCTAAGATGACCAAGATTAAAATTTTGAAATTCTTTTTTATTCTTTTGTTTCCTTCTTTATGTGATTTGTGTGAAGAAGTTGTTCATTAGAATCACCCTCCAGGGCCTGCACTATTTCTAACTCTTGTTCTTTAGGCCAGTCCAGGGTTCAAGAAGCAGGCTGAAGGTGCTCATAAACCTGAGTGATACTGCTGGCCAATGAATGTGAGGCTAATTACCTCATGCGCCTGATACTTTCCTAAATTGGTCTTGTGGAAGAACATAGGTTTAGAGTGGAAAGACATTTTCTCTAAGCTCTTATGAAATGCAATGAAACTAGAGAGTAAATTTACCTACATTTGTTTATCTGACAACATCAACAGGCTAAATATCTGGATATCTTAAATCTCAGATGAGCGTCTTAGCCTCTGGATTACTGCTCAATGAGGAAAGCTATGAAATGCATGGATAACTTGCTAATCAGTATTTGCCATATGTGCTAGCAGCATCAGCATCAGTTGGGAGATTATGGTGGCCTCCATGTCAGACCTCCTAAATCGGAATATCAGAGAAGGTGGCCCAGGTAAGTGTGCTTTACTAAGTTCTTCAGAAGATTCTTAAAGACAATGAAGTTTGAGAAGCACTATCTTAGGGTACATAAGCATGAAGCTAGACTGGCGGAGCTCTGTCATTGACTAACTGTATGATGGTGAGAAAGTTGCTTATCTCCTCTGAGCTTCTATTTCTTTTTCTGTATCATACGTTTGTTGTGAAGATCCAACTTTTAGTATATTGCAAGTGCGTGGAACTTTACAAAAACTCAGTAGACATTATTACTATTATTGCCAATATTGATGTTGCTGTTTTTTAGGTCTTACCATCTGCAGCATGTTGCTGGCTGGTGAAATGACGCCTCTCCTGAGGGTGTTATATGCGTTAACAATTTATTCTTGTACAGCTGGTGATTCAATGTTTGTTATTTAAGTGGTAAAATTGTTCACTACATTTATTAAATATTTAAATGGTAAATAATGTAACTGCAAATAAACAATAGATAAAACCTAAAAATGCTGCATAACAAGGCACCAGTTGAGATTGCTTTTAACAATTTTAGAATCCATAGTAGTAAATATACTGTAAATGTATGTGCAGGTATATAGTTTTCCATAGCTATACCTTATTTAAGTTATAAACATGTATATTTTGCATAAATTCCTTATATATGGTTTTTAAAAACAAATTGATGAGAGGGCACAGAGTTGGTGCTCATTACGTCTAACCTCAGAAGCAGGAGACAGATTAGTTTACTTAGTCTGTTCCATTTTTAGAAGCAATGATTTTTTTTGAAAAGGTTTAAATCATCAAGTTTCAGCTAAATTTTTAGAGTGATCCAGATAAAGGGAGACAAAGGAGGATGAAGGCTCATGCAATCAGCTGACATTTTTCTTAGGCTGATTTATTTAACATGTAGTTCAGCCTCCACAGTATTCTATTTCTTTCAAGGTGATTTACAGAATAATTGTGTGTTTTACAATTAATGGCATCTTCTATTAATGAAATACTTTAATATATTGATTGTCATTCCTAGGTTACCATGCTTCATCTGCCAATGCATTGAAAACTTGGAATGTAAATTAATTCAACCATTGTGGAAGATGGTGTAGTGATTCCTCAAAGACCTAGAAGCAGAAATATCATTTGATCCAGAAATCCCATTACTGTGTATACACCCAAAGGAATATAAACCATTCTATTACAAAGATACATGCGTGCGTATGTTCATTGCAGCATTATTCACAATAGTAAAGACATAGAGTCAACCCAAATGCCCATCAAAGACAAACAATATGTGGTACATATACACCATGGAATACCATGCACCCATAAAAAGGAACAAGATCACATTTTTTGTAGGGACATGGATGGAGCTGGAAGGCATTGTCCTCAGCAAAATAACATAGGAACAGAAAACCAAACACCCCATGTCCTCACTTATAAGTGGGAGGTAAACAATGAGAACACATGGACACAGGGAGAGGAACAACACACATTGGGGCCTGTTGGAGGGTGGGGTGGGGGAGAGAGAGCATTAGGAAAAGTAGCTAACTCATGCTGGGCTCAATGCGTAGGTGATGGGTTGATAGGTGCAGCAAACCACCATGGCACATGGTTACCTATGTAACAAGCCTGCACATCCTGCACATGTACCCCAGAACTTAAAATAAAAATAAAAATTTAAAAAAACTCAAGAAAAAGAAAATTTGATTTCTCATTGTAATATTGAAAATATAAGTTAATAGATGGTAAATTGCAGGATATTTACATCATTAGAAGCAAGTTTTGTGACCGATAAATGTTTGTATGGGACAAAATTCTAACCAGCCTATGGAGGTTGAGGAGACTTCCCTGCTATTTTCACTAATTTTACCCAGCTTGTCTTTCACAAGTATGAATCTTGATGACACCATATGACCCCACATCTAGGTCAACCTGAAATGTGTGTTTTATTGAAGCAAGTTTTTGCCTATGTTTACTGTAGAGATAATTTTATATCCTCCTATATCCTGCTGTTGCTCTTGGGCAGTTTTCGCAGGTTTTGTGGGTGAAGATGTCCTCTGACTGATTTTCTGGCAATCCTTTGATGGCTGCTAGCTTAGGCCAACTTCCCTAGAGTGATGATTAAACTAAAGGTAAGAAGATATCAATACAGACTGTTAAAGTCAAGAGAGTGCATTTTGAAATCAACTTTGAAATATGAGACAACCAATAATCTATTATTTATTCTATTAATAAGATGTTGAGAATTTAATCAAATTCAATTCACCTTTCTCTTGAAAATATACGTAAAATATACATTTTACTAGGCTTGTGCAGAGACAAGATGCAAAGATACGCAATCATTTATATTTCTATAAGCGAATTTAATCACCTGTTTCATGAACAAAATGATGAATTATTCACTCATTTGATATTAACATACACATTTTATGAAGTAATGGTCTTCATTTTGAAACAACCCATGAACTACAAAGTTTGTATTGTAAAAAATTTCCATGAACTTTTAGGATTGTTCTTAAAGGTAAAAAAGTGTCAGTGCAATTCTATTTACTCTGCAGAGTAAATAGAACTCTACAGTGCATTGCACTCTACAGTGCAATGCAGAACAACTTTTTTTTTAAATTAAGAGATTCTTATTCTATCACTTTGTGGAAAGATAAGTAATGCATACATTTTAACATACCTCTTTATCTATTATTATATTGGTTTCTACATCTATCTAGCTATTCTCTTCTCTAACATATTACTATTACATAAATATTAAGATAATTTAGTTTTATTGAATTTTCATTTCTCCAATATGGACATTTGTTGTTTCCTAAGTGAATGCAAAGTGCATTAGATATCATAGGGACAAAGTAAAATGGCTAAACCACTCAAATCACAAGGACATATTTTCTGTAGGTATTATGCATACTGAATACCTCCTTATCTCTGTTATTAGTTATTATTTCAGGTAAGCACAGAATAGGACAAACCCATGATGTGAGGTCCTACATGGAAATTTTAATTTTATTAAATTGAAGTAAATAAGAATCGTTACAAAATAAACAAGGCAAATCATCTCTATCTCAAACTAATCCTAGAAGAGGACTGATATGTTGCTGAGATTCACTTGTGTTTCATATTCTCTTAGAATCCAAATTGTAGCTGCAATTACCTTGCATAACAAAAAATTATGTTCTAAATTTTTTTGTTTTTCATAAAGTGCTTCAAAAATGATCCTTCAATAGAATTTTAAAATAACGATGAGGAGCTAGAGATTTCAAATCCACAATAACAAAGTTAATTTTCTAATGATACTTCATTACTAAGATTTTCTTAATTTTAGTCTTAGGGAGATTTTTTTAAATCATTAAATAATGTAATGAATTTGTTAATAAAAACTGGAATACAACTTCTACATGCCTGCATAATTATCTTCTAATACACACACGCAGGAGCCTCATTTTCCTTTATGAATTTTGATCACTGCAGAATTTATACCTTCCAAAAGGAAATAGAAGAATGTGACTAAAACAAATTCGATTTTCATAAAACACACCTTTCTTTATTCATCACAGTTATGCTATATCCTCTAGAGATCTGCGTAATGTAAAATAGATTTTCTCATTAAATAACTGCACATGATTGAATAATGTTTAATGTCTTTAAAATGTACCCTCTGTAATACATCATGCGATATCTTTTACTGCCATACAGGATACAGGCGGGGGAGGAGAGATTTGTAGTCTGTATGGGGTCTAGCTCTAGCAAAGAAAAGGAAATATAATATGTGTTTTTAGTTCCAGCATTAAGTAGGGGAACTGAGGAAAGTTAGATAGAACTAAGGAAGATAGAACTGAGGAGAGTTAGATAGAGATTAGATAGAACTGTGTAAAGGGACACGGATCATTGATTCTCATAACCTTAATAGAAATATCCCTTAAGAATATACGCATTCCAGAAAATGGCCAGACATCACTAATTTCCTTATAAGGTGGAAATTTAAGTAAGACATACTAATTTTCTCAACTTCCTCTACCCCTAGAGATGACAGAAATTAGACCTGAATTTTAATACAGCCTTTTTTTCAATTATAAAAATTGATGTGCCCAAGTATGTTTAATTATTTTGTTTTCTTGAGGGGCACAAGTAAATAGCCTCATTAGGAGATGTCCAAAGTTCATGGGGAAAAGATAGGCTGCTGTACAGGATTTTTGTTGAACTATCTATCTTGCACTCATTCCTGTTGAGATCAAGCCAGTGATTGAGATTAGGATGGATGTAACTGGGGTAGCAGTGGGGAGGGGAATGAACTTTGATGAAACAAGTGCTGGCCAGGTCTGGAATTTAGGTCTAAGAAGTCCAAAAAATAAAATGTCAAACAAAAGGAAACATCAAAAAAATAAAAGATGGCAAAAGAAACTTGTACCTTGATCATGAGACGGGTGTCCTGGAAATAGATTTAGAGCATCTGCTGCTCTTACTTTGGCAATTGTAGAGTAATTTTAGAACACTGCTGGAGGCATGCTGAAGTGGGAAGCCAAAAACCTAGAACAACAAATATATTTAAGTCTGGCAGCCTCTATGCCTTGACAATTAAAATAGTTGTAGCAGAGAAGGAAGAAATTATGAATACAGCAGCAGAGAGGTTACCTTGTGAGAAGGAATAATTGTCCATTTGCAGGAACAGAGAAAAGGGAGGAAGAGACCATTAACTGCAACATAAAGCGTCTCACGTCTTGTGACTTTCTTCAACTCAACCTAAAGCAGAAAAAAAAATAAATAAATAAAGTGAGAAGTCTTGTCTGATGCCTTCAGATATGCCAACAAAGCCAAGAAATATATTGATTCAAAAATATTTAATCTTATGAGAGGAAGATAACAGTGGAAAATCATATACTAAAAGAAACTGAACTATTTAAAAAATCAATACAAATTGTAAAAAGCACAAAGGTTGTCAAAGAAATAAACATAATGGAAATCTAAATAGTGATCAAGCTACTATAAAACATAACTGCTTAGCGATATTGGAAATGAAATAAAAAAGAGTTAAAATAAAAACTCAAAAGGATAGGTTGCATAGTTCATCAGTTATATAAATAGGTAAAGAAAGAGTGAGTGAGTTGAAGCAAGGAGGTGCAATGCTTTCAGAATGCATCGAAAAGGGACAAAGAGAGAGAATGATAACAAAGTCAAGATATGTGAAAACTAAAAGAAATTATCAAGATCCACCAGTGATAGTCATAAAAAGAGAGAAAGTATAAATAAATGTGACAAAGTATTTGAGAAAATGATTATGTATCATGAAAAGTAACATAAGATCTCACATAAAAAGAGGATTATGCCAGGAATGGTGGTGCACTCCTATAGTCCCAGATACTCAGGAGGCTGAGGCAGGAGTAATACTGGAGCCCGGGAGTTCAAGGCTCTAGTGCACTATGATCGTGCCTGTAAGTAGTCACTGCACTCCGGCCTGGGTAACACAGCAGGACCCTCACCTCTGAAAAACAGAGGGAGAGAGAGAGAGAGAAAGAGACAGAGAGAGAGAGAGAGGATCATGCATTATGCAAAACAGCTAAGATTTAAGACACATACCTAGAAACATCACAATGAATTTAAATAACACAGCAAGAAGGAAAATTGTTTAAAGTTTTCAGAAAGGAAAAATAAGTCACATATAAGAGAAAAGACCTAGATGGATGTCTAGTTTTCAAAATACTCCTGGGTATTTTAAACAACTTTGTTAAGTAATTGCAGCTATATTTTATACTTTGAATGATTGCAGTCATGACAGGCATGTTACAATGGCTTCTTTGTACATAATATACATTACTTTTTATATTTGTTTAGCAGCTCCTTTTATCAGGTTTAATAATTTCACTTCCATTCTTAATATATTAGGAAATATCAAGAGATTAGTCCAATTAAAATTTATTAGCCAGTATGAATGAAGAACACGTTAAAACTCTATTAAACAGATTTTTTAAAAAATCTGGAAAAATAACTGACATACATGTTCATGGGTGAGATGGTCTGGCAATGAAAGAAGCAAATTTTTCTCAAACAATCTATAAATAAATACAAAGACAATCATAATCCATAGGATTTTTAGAGGGTGGATAGATGAACATATTGTAAGTTTTAAATGGGAAAATAAGAACTTTTTAATAGGGAAATTTAAGAAAGATAATAAAAGAAGCCCCTCACCCTATCAGATATTAAGACAAATATGAAGCTTGAATATTGAAATCACAGAGAAAAAGGCATAGAATGATTATTCTATGAACTAGAGATTATTATGTTAAGTGAAATAATCCAGGCACAGAAAGATAAACATCACATGTTCTCACATTTGTGGGATCTAAAAATCATAGCAATTGAACCAATGGACATAGATAATAGAAGGATGGTTACCAGAGGCTGCGTAGGGTAGTTGGGGGTTGGGGAGCAGGTAGGGGTGGTTAATGGGTACAAAAATAGCTAGAAAGAATGAATAAGTCCTACTGTTTGATAGCACAATAGAGTGACTATAGTCAATAATAATTGTACATTTTAAGATAATTTAAAAGAGTGTAATTGGATTGTTTGTAACTCAAAGGATAAATGCTTGAGGAGATGAATACCCCATTCTCCATGATGTGCTTATTTGACATTGCATGTCTGTATCAAAACATCTTATGTACCCCATAAATATAGACACCTACTATATATACACAAAACATAAAAATCAAATAAATAAATAAATGAAAAGAGAAAATAGTTTATAGGGTAAATAATATTTGATAAATTATCTTACTGTAAGGGGAAAAGTAGAAAAATAGATCCTCAGCTAACCTAAATTATTTTTAAAAATATTATAATATATGAAATATGTTGTAGGAAAGAATTCAGGAGCAAAGAAAACTGCAGGTCCAGGAGTTTCTACGAGTACATGCTCATGTAAAGGGGTTTATGGAAGAAAAGTTAAGACATTTTTAACAAACAGATGAAGACTACTAAAGGAGGTGAAAACCTGAAAGATGAATATTAATATACAATTAATAGCAAATGGGTAACTTATGACCATATTTAAAAAAAGCTCAAATTACTTGTATTTGTTCAAAACAAAATGGTTTGTGCATTAAACAGATATTATTAGATATTGCTTGTTGAAAATATTACCATGGTTCAGATTATACTGGAGAAATCCTTTGTTGTTTCTTTGTGGCATTGTTTTATCTTTTAAGTTATCTTTTCCAATAGACTGTGTCCATATTTATATTAGTGGTACCATCAATAAATACGCTACCTTCAGCATTTTAGAATTTTCTGAAGGCAACTGAAAAGCAGGAGCTTGACTCGCGAATGATCACATACTGTAGGTGCTTCTTCTTCGTATATTTGCAATTTTTATACAGTATAGATGCTGAACTATAACATTCCATATAAGTAGTTTGCAAATGCGCTTGACAGAGTAATAATTGTTTTAAAGAAAATAACAAAGATTCATAACAAATAGAAATAGACAATACTAATAAAAGGATGCCTCAAACGTTTAGTTCTTTATTGTTCAGTTGAGAGCAACTTCTTGACAGAATTTTTTCTATCGAGAGGGTTTACACATACCATATGCCATAGTGATTTGTCAGCTTACAAATATGTTTCATAGCCCTGAACCACAGTGAAGAACTTTTTACCCAGATTTTAAAGCCCCACCAATTAGAAGAATTGCTTGTGATATATATAGCAGGTCAGGAAACCTCTGTTTTCTTGCATCTGTAGATAATTGACCTGCTACACGGCGAACTTAAGCAAAATCTTAATTCATTCAAGCAAAAAAATGCAGGTTCACTTAGTGGTAGGGTAATGGCCAAGATAGAGGAGCCACATTCTCTCAGGTCCTCCTTCTTAAAACTGAAAAACTTGAGCATACATAACAAACAAGCATAGGAAGACTCTAGAAGTGAAACTAAGAAAGCAGACTGTGTAAGGACCTTGGACTTGAGTATCAGCATGAAAATGACTTCTCTGAGTTTCCTTTTTGCTTCCCATATATACTAGACAGAGCACTGCAGAAGTCTCAACCCCAGAACCACTAACAGGATCAGACAAAAATTAAAACAAACAAACCGAAACAGAACAAGGGAAGCCTGCTCAACTCAGCCAAAGGGTTAAGAAGGGTGAAATAATAAAAAAGAAAAAAATTTTTAGCCATAACTGTCTGACTCCAGACAGACAATGAAAAGACTGTCCACAAAATGCTTGGAATGGCTTCAGTAGAACTCAGCACAGGGGCCATAACACCTTACAAACTTCTGAAAAATTAAAGCCAATGAAAAAATTTAATAGAGAGAAACAATATATAACTATGGAGGAATAACAATTTTAGTGACAGTAGATTTCTCTTCTGAAACCACAGAGTTCAGAAGAGAGTGGCGTGCTTTACAAATGCTTAAAAAAATGATTAATCCTGAATCCTATATCCGGTGAAAGTATACTTCAGGAATAAAGGGAAAATAAAGGCATTCTCACATAAAGAACAGTCAGATAATTTATTTGTAAGCCTACTCTTAAAGGAAGGCTAAAGGATGTTCTCTAGATAAAAATTAAAAGAGATGATAAGAGAAGTTTTAAAAATTCAGAAAAGAAAATATCAGAATGGATAAAAATGAGAGTTAAATACAAGAGACTTTTCTCTTCATGATTTTCTTAAAATATTTGTTGGTTGAAGCGAAAATTGTTACACCACACATGGTGATGTTTAGTATATGTAAAGTTAGTACTTAGTATAAATATATTGTTAAAGTGGGAGGGAAAGGTACCTAAATAAAAGTGAGGTTTCTACCCTTCACTCTAAGTGACAAAATATCAATACAAGTAGACTGATAATTTAAGTATATATATAGTACACACACACACACATATATATGTAGAGTAACCACTAGGAGAAACTATACAAAGTGATACACACATTAAAATTAAAACACATTAAAAATGTGCAAATAACTCACAGGAAGGCAAGAAAAGAGAAACAGAGGAACAACAAACAGAGAAACAAATGAAAATAAATAATATAAGGCCAACTTGAGCCTAAATATACTAATAATTTTAAAAAGCACAAAGAGAGAAAATGGTGGAGAGAGTATCAAGATGGATCATGATATAGTTCAGTAAAAAATTGAATTTGAAGCTTGGCCAAAGTGAGAATTCTGCTATGATAA
The DNA here is from genome assembly GCF_000001405.40 of Homo sapiens. Lineage (NCBI taxonomy): Eukaryota > Metazoa > Chordata > Mammalia > Primates > Hominidae > Homo > Homo sapiens. The sequence continues at coordinate 49,828,483 of NC_000006.12, forward strand.
CATCATTTAATACATTATATTTAGATATGCACGTGGATACATTTTCAGTGATAGTCATCACGAGAACATCGGGCAAGGGAAATTTCAATGATACTTGAGTCTTCCTGAATACCTCTGCGAGGCATTATGGAGCAGTGGGAATGGTATTAGACTCAGTCCAAAGGAATGGTTAAAATGCGATAAGAACCCCATCGAAGCTCTCACATAGTTTCAGACACAAAGAGGTATCAGGGCTAAGACTCCAAACCAGGTCTGTTCTCTAAATTGAAACATGTTGCACTTAGAAGCTCATTCTCTATCATGGTTCTAACATTCTATTTATTATTTGACAGCTCTATGCAATGCTTAGTTTAACAAGTATTTAAAAATCCTGTTCATAAAATGGTTGGAATGGATGAGAAAGAAAAGAACATTTTGAAAAACCTACATTTCATGTGTGTACTTTCCACATTAATCTTCTAATAACTTCCTGTTATAGCTCTATATAGTGATATACTATTTTATGGCATCTAAATTTTGGAAGGAGCTATTCTTTGTGTAGGATCTCTCTGTTACTTTCGAGCTATTTAACCATGAAGAAGTCATGTAAAATTTCGGAGTCTTAGTGTCTAAATATGTAAAATTGTAATAATAAATCCCACCACAAAAGGCTATATGTAGTTGAAGTGATACCATATAAATAACATAATGTATTATTAACATTCAGCATAATTCTAAATACCTGAATATAGTTACTATTTGAAAAAATGATTTGACATTTACAACCTCAAGCTAGATACCTAAATGCAGTTGAGATTTGCAGAAATGAAATAATTATCATGCCTCTTCAGAGATAATTTAGCTTTATTTAAAGAACATGTATTTTTGATAAGTCTTTTACTAAATAATATTCTCAAGTTTTTTGTAATATAATTCACTTATATGCTTAAAGAAGCTCCAATATTCACAAAATTTTATCAACAAATGACACTCCTCCCCTGAACTTTTTCATGCACTAGAGGTATTTACATAAATAATTCATCAAGAGTGTTATAGGGTGTTGTACAAATTAAGTAAAAGACCAGACATGGTATTTATGGTCCTTTTGTGCCCAAATGCTTCATTCTAAAAGGGTTACTAAATGCAGTGTATATTGCTGTGAATGCCATAAATACCACCTCATGGTCTTGTTTCGGAAGTACTTTTCTGGAAGGTTTTTGCATTTAAGTGGTAATGAATTCTGAACTTCAAGTTCCGTGAAGCCGGATAAAAACATTTCTATTCCATTTTTACATGAGGCCATTGGTTTCACAGTATGAAAATTTCTATATTGCTTCTTGATTTTTCTTCCCATAAAAACATGCAGTAACTACAGGCTAATATAAGTATAAGGAACGTACCACATTCCTACTATGATACAATGGTTTCCTGTATATGATCCCAGAACTGTTCTGGTATCACCATTCCTTTAGCAGTGTCCTTCTTTGTTAAGGAAAACACAGTATTTACCATGATGTCCCAACTATTTAGGCTTTGAGCACATTTCAAAAGTCCACTATTACCTTGCATGGCAATTATCAGTCTGGACACTTTGAAAGATTTTATTTTCTTTGAAAGATTTTATTTTTATTTTAGTCTCCACATAAATCTATATAGAATATAGTATATATTGTAGTGTTCTTATAATGGAGAGTCAAGAATGTGCTACCTTTGTTTGGGACCTCATTTAGGCTTTCTTTTCAAGTTACCCAGTAATCTAGATCTATTTTGTGCCACCCTGCCCTCCACTGCCACCTGACAACCTAAACAGATTTTTGTTCTGAATGGTGACCTTTTCTACCTTTGCTTCACAGATCATCCTGACTTTCATTCCTACATGTAAACACACACGCACACACACACACACACACACACACACACACACACACAGAGAGAGAGAGAGAGAGAAACACATATCTGTTTTGGGCTCCTGAGTCTGTGACACTCCTCCCCAGACAGTGACCTTGAAATATACCATGAGTTTTCATACTATGAGTAAATGTGCTACTCTGTCCATAAACACTGTTGATAAGCTATGGACATGAGGGTGATGTTGAAGACCATTCCGAAAAATTACACCGTTGTTTGCCACACATTTTCTTGGAGATAGCCTATGAAGCTATTTAAGTCACTTAACCAATATTCATCTTTGAAGTAAACATGGTTTCTACTCCCTCCTGCAAGTCATGTGACACATGGTGGAAACCTAGGGAACTTTCTTTTATATCAACTTTCAGGAGAAAAGAGTGGATTCTGGGGAAAATAAAACACACTGAAACTAAAAACAAATACCAGGTATCGGGCTTTGTTTGTAGCTACACTGTTGGCCATATTTCTTTTTTTTTTTCTTTTTTCTTTTTTTTTTTCTTTTTGAGACGGAGTCTCGCTCTGTCGCCCAGGCTGAAGTGCAGTGGCACGATCTCGGCTCACTGCAAGCTCCGCCTCCCGGGTTCACGCCATTCTCCTGCCTCAGCCTCCTGAGTAGCTGGGACTTAAGGCGCCCGCCACCACGCCCGGTTAATTTTTTGTATTTTTAGTAGAGACGGGGTTTCACCGTGTTAGCCAGGATGGTCTCCATCTCCTGAACCTCATGATCCACCCGCCTCGGCCTCCCAAAGTGCTGGGACTACAGGCGTGAGCCACCGCGCCTGGCCCCATATTTCTTTAATGTTCAAATTTACTAATGTTTATGTCCTCATTTGAAACAGGCAAAGATTTGTGCTTCTTGATCACTGAATATATTAATATTTTGCAACACTAAGGATTCACTGTTTAATATTTTGTTTTCACTTTCATTCCTCTACTTACTTAAAACGTGTGTCTGAAAAGGTTTATCTGCATTTTTTTCAAATTATGTAATTTAATAAAATGAAATCAAAGGATTAGATATTTCAAATAACTCACAGCGGCATAAAGTGTTTCCAGTTATGATGTTAGAAATGTAAAAAATCAGAAAATGCTTGAGTGAAAGGAGGAATGAGAGCAACAGAGGACGTAGATGGAGGAGGGAAAGACTGGATCATGTCATTTGTATTAGATTCTATAATTTTGACTTTTGGAAAACTGCATCTCTCATCAAAAGAATATAAAAACTTTAATCGTTTTTCTAACCACCTGCATAGTATTTCATATCATGGATCATTCCTAATTTACTTAACCATTTATTGCACTTACGTGTATTTTTATAGCATTTGGTTTTCCTTTATTATAAATAATGCTTAAGTAAAAATCTTTTTATAGAGATACATTTTTGCATGTGAGTATTTCAGTATAATACATTCCTTCATGAGAAACTAACAAACCAAAAACCATGTTATTTTTAATATCACTTGGTATCTTTAAATAGGGGTCTTTCTACAAACTTTTAGTTCCCACTAATGATGTATTGAAATGGTTGCCTCTTCCCACTTCTCTGATGGGTAGATTTTAACATATAATTAATTTATTCTTGGCTGGACAGAAAGATAATCCTAACTATATTTGGAATACACTTTTTTGCATTATGAAAGAGGTAACTTTTCTGTTTAATGGCATGTGCATTTCTGTACCTATTTGGTGGTTTTTCTCTCCTTTTTTTTCTAATGTAACACTTTTCATTATTATCAATCTATAGATTCATTTTCTATATTTATGTAAACATACATAAGTCACATAGATCAACTATGTATCGACCTTTTAAAAGATTTAAAAATTAATCTTAACCTTTCACTTGCTGTACTTCTGCCTTTATACATTTTTTTTTGTTTTCCAGTGAAATTACTATCTTCAAATAAATACTTTCAAGATTTCATGTCATGATTTTGTTCAAATTTCCTGCCCTAGTATTTTAATACTGTTTTCCAAAAATTATCTTTCTCATATGTAAATATCTTTATCAAAACACACATCTTTAATTTAATTTTAATTTTGGTGGTCTCTATTGAATAATTATTTTCCAAATGAATTTAGGATAAACATGTAAATTCTATAAAAGCTCTTCTTGATATTTCCATTCTGATTGCATTGAATTACTAAATAATGTGGTGAAATCAGGTATTTCTACTAAATTGAATGTCTTCTTTAATCAAAGGTAGTTTTATACTATAGATTTCTGTGAAAGCTCCTTTATTGTATTAATAAATTATTCCATACTTGTTATGTTATTTGGGTTGGGGCAGAGACTGTTCATTTATCACCATAACACATGTTCACTGCTGAGTTCACAAAAGGGAAGAGTCCAGAGCGTGCCGCTCAACTATGTCTGAAAGGCAGAGCTCAGGGACTGGAGTTTGAAGAGAATGAATAATAATGCCAGCTAATAGTTATCGAGCACACTTTAAGCACAAGATACCTTTCTAAGGATTTTACATACTAACTCATTCAATCCTTAAAACAAACTTATGAAGTAGGTTCTATCTCTTACTATAACTTATAGATGAGGACAAAGAAAAATAATCTTTTTCAAAGTCACAGAGCAAGCACATGTTGTGTCCTGAATTCAAACCAGCTGGGTGACACCTCTGCTCATGCTCTTAATCTTTGTATTACACACTTAGAACTATTTTTTTTCTTTTACTACTGTGAAAGTACAGACTGCCACTGGATATTGTTTCTGCTTCAGAATTATTTGTTATTATTTATTCTATATTCAATAACATTTGGAAAGAGGTGTAAGACTGTTTCCATTTTTTAGAAAGATGTTGCATGGTAAATAAGAGTTTTTTCTCTGTCATCTAAAATAGCTTTTTTAATGATTTTCCAAACAATATGTGTGATTCTGAAAGCTTTTGAGATAATAGAAGAATGGTGTACATGAGGTCATCCACCGCCCCCAACCTTCTTCATTACAGGGTACTTTTCACACAGTCAGTTTGCTCTGAGATATTTTTTGGGGGGAATACTTTTTATATTTAACAAATACAATTTATTGTGAGATAAGCCAACATATTATTTAAATTTGGGTAATGTAGACAAATGAGGTCAAAGTTTTGTTACTTGCTTATTTGATTTTCCTTAGACGTAGGCATACCCTTCCTCCTCCTTCCCCAACCCTTAAGAAATATTTGAATATGCTTACTCTTATGCAAAGTGGGAAGAGATGTGATTGGAATGCAAATTTTGAGAAGTATCATGTTAATTTCTAGAAAGAGCATATTGTAGTGTAAGAATACAGTAACACTGCCTGCCAATATGTTACAGTAGACTGCAGGATTAGTTGGTTATCTAGCATGCAAAATTCAGAACTCAGGGCTCTAATTTAATTATTCTAAAATCTAATGCTACCTTGGTGAGGTAAGAGAAATCACAATACCTGGTAATGCAAAAATGAGTAAAGATTTTCTACAGCACACACATTTAATTTTCTTAGAGTAAATTATTACTTTGATTTTTGTAATGAGTTCCATTTATTAAATATTTCGGCTATAAAGTACCAGCCTACTTACTGTGTCCCAGGATGAGTCACTGTTCTCCTGATGTTAATATGTCCATGATTGTGCTAATGACAATTACTCAAAAGATAGATACAATCAAGTGGATAGATCTAACATATGTAGTTTAAGTAAAAAGTGAGAATGGGTCTGAAGGATTTACATGGGAGAAATGCCCATAGATCTAAATGGAAAGACATGGGTCATGTCAAGAGGGCGTCATTCTCAAATTGTCCTCTTTTCTTGGAGCCACACAGAATTTTTGTACCTGTGACGAGAACCTCTGTATGATGCAGAATGGGTTTGAGGTATGGCTTACCTGTTTACTTTTGGAAAGTGGGTGATGTCTTTTTTTTTTTTTTCAAACACTTTATTGAAATGAGTAAAGAAATATACAAGTAGGTAGAACTGGGTATAACTTTGGTATAATGTTAAAATTTGACCAAGTATTTTTAGCCTTCCCTTTCCCCATGTCAGGCCCTTCAATATTCCCTAAGGCTTCAGTGCATTTTACGTTAGTTGGCCTTAACTGTGCTCTTCCATTGTGTTGAAATAATCATAACCTTTGCAACCCTGTTTACTCAGAAGATGTTCCTCATTCCACCCTAAGGCTTTCCTGAATCTCCAAACAGAAGCTATTTATGCTCATCTGGCAATAATAATATGTGACCTATATGTCTTTAGGGACTTAATTTCTCATATTATGCTATTTTATATATCTTTTATACTGCCTTTGCAATGAAATGAAACTATATTCCTTCCATATATATAAACATGCATCTTGTATGCAATCAGTACTGAATACATATTTTGTTAAATTAATGGCATACGAAGCTTTTTTATTGTTTCTTGCTTCACAAATGTATATATAGATGTGTCAATAAAACAATGAGACATTTAAACTACTTCCAATTAAATGATATTTACCTTGCAAGATGAGACTGAACTCTGTTTGCTTTGTGGATTCCTTTAATGATTGATTTAAAGTAGAAGTAAAATTTTAAAAGTGAAGAATTATTACTGGATGTTAGTTGTGCAGGGAAGATAATCAGAGTGGTTGAAAATATGGGGAAGGCGGGGGTGGGAGTTGAACCACATAAGACCTATTTTAGCCCAGGTTACTGTTGAGGGACCCAGTTATACCATAAGTTGAATTATGCCAACTTAAAAACTATAAATCACATGATTTAAATTTAAGGCAGGTGTTGGACTTGACCTTTTACTCCAGCACTAAGAAAGTTTAAAACAGTGTTACTTCAGGATGTATCAGGATGGGAGTTAAGGTCTCCAGCATGATTAAAATCAGTGAAATTTAGCAGAAGCTACTGAACTATAGCAAAAGACATGAATCCAACAGACATCTCCTCCTCATCGTCACAGCATAGAACAGTTGAAAATAACAAAGACCTATTTTATCTCAGTGTCACACAGACAAGTGGCTTTACAGAATAGGATAGTTGTTGAGTGGTTGCATCCCAGATAATGGACTTGTATGTCACAGTCGAAGTATTCATCATAGTAGATGCAGGGGTTAGCTGAAAGAAAATAGTATGGTTTTACAACACAGTCTTTTAAAAATCGCATTTGCTGAGGAAAGAGACCATCTTATTAAAGACAAAAAGAGAAATTTTTATTAACAATTGCTAACTAAATTTAATTAGCATAAGCTAACTAAATCTGAATGCAAAACAGGTGATAAGATCATGTATGAAAAGAAAAAGGTAAAATTTTTGTCTTTGTGTAAAACAAGTTTTTATCACAATTTTTTAAGTCCAATATAAACAGATTGGAGAGGAATCATATTTTTAATTACACTGTCATTTTGAAAGTATTAACTATGCCATTGCAATATAAAATATTCATAATTTTTTGTCTAATTATCTAATGCTGCATTATTTAATGGTTAAAGATTTGCTTTGGATTATTAAAAGTAATGTATAGCCAATGGAAAATGGAATTAAAAAGCACATATAGGATGGCATATATAATCTCTCCATCCACCCAGAGGTTATCTCAACTAACATTCTAGTGATTTTTCTCACCTTGCTCTATCCCATGGATGTGCACGCACCTACATCCTGGTACATACAGAGGCAGAAATGCACACGAAATTCTCCAATCAGTATGAAGATACCCAAAATTTTAAATTTGTGGCAATAGCACCAAAAAGCTTACCAAAATATTTTTTGACCTGAATTCTCTATCACAACTAACCAATGTATCTATTTGTCTCTATATAAAGGCAAAAATAACAATAATTTAATTCCCTCTCTCTTTTAAGATTTTCTGACCTTTATGCAGTCCTGAATTTGAATCTTGACAATGGAAAAATTTAAATTTTCCCATTATATCTCTTATCCTTCAATTATAAAGTTTGATCATTGCATGAAATTTATAACAATCTTATAAATTTTATTTTTATTTTTATTTTATTTTTTTTTTTTTGAGACGGAGTCTCGCTCTGTGGCCCAGGCAGGAGTGCAGTGGTGCAATCTCGGCTCACTGCAAGCTCTGCCTCCCGGGTTCACGCCATTCTCCTGCCTCAGCCTCCCGAGTAGCTGGGACTACAGGCGCCCGCCATCACGCCCTGCTAATTTTTTTTTTATTTTTTAGTAGAGACGGGGTTTCACCATGTTAGCCAGGGTGGTCTACGATCTCCTGACCTCGTGATCCGCCCGCCTCGGCCTCCCAAAGTGCTGGGATTACAAGCGTGAGCCACCGCGCCCGGCCTACAAATTTTAAATTTACATTTATGTCTTACTGTTTATTATTTTAGTGAATATCCTTCTATGCTATACACATTTTCCTCTTCCTAAATTATTAAACTGATTCACCTTCCAGGAACTTGGAGAATAACTACAGTAGATTTATCAAGGTGCAACAAGGAGATGAAATATGGATGTCATATTACTGCCAGAGCAATTGTATATTTGATAGTGTATCTCTGCTTCTTTTTCCTACAATCAGTAATTTGCCAAAGTCATTACTCATTTTTTTTAAAAAATCAATTACCTATCTTTATCCTACTTTATTCTCTTATGTAGTATTCTGGTGAAATATGACTATCAGTGGATTTTTTTTTCTTTAGCAGTAACATATATTTTCTTTGAATCTGTAAAGTGTTGTAATCCGTTGTTTTCTTTTATCTGTTGTTCTTAATTTATATACTTTCCTAATATTATAAGTAAGAATTATTTTTATAAATTTTATTTGAATTACATTAAATGAATTATATCTGCATGTCTAGGTCTTACATTTTTAGCATTGTTTGTGCCCAATATGTTCAATTCTTAAGTTCATATATTCCTTTAATAGCTCTCACTTTCTCAAACACTTACAGGTGAAGAAAGGGCTTATGATATACATCATCTATGTGATATAATCAATCTTCTTGAATAACATTTCTCTTCCCTACTCTTCTTTCACTTCTATTAAATTGTTATACCACCACAGACATTGCTTTTCTCACCTAGATTCTAAAAATCTACTCAATTGCCATCCCTTCTCCTGCTAAGGCATAGGTAACTGGTTGATTTTTTTTTTTTTTTCCCGGTGGGGAGGAATCTCTCTCCATCTACATTTTTTTCCAGAAACGGGGTATAAAAAGTGAAGTGGATACAGAGAAAGAGAGAGGGAGACAGATAGAGAAGTAAATAAAAGAGTACAAGAGAAGAGAAACGAGAGAAAGGTAAAAGGAGGAAGAAGAATCCATTTTCTTTCTTACTTTAAAAGACAATAAAGTAACCTGGTTAGGTGAAGAAAAATAAGTGGCCTTTCAAGTCGGAGGTCACAGGATATTTTTCTAAGGTTTATTTTTTTCTCCACAGACTTATTACTAGTATAATTTATCTTAATCAAGATTATTCCTAGAAATTAAGAAATTATGTTTGCAGGTAGGCTTCAAAAAGTGAAATTTGGCTATCTAAGGGAATAAACAGAAATGGCACCCATTTGGCTAAAGCTTTACCTTAGGTAAGATTTATTCAAGAAATTAAAAAAAAAAAAGAGGCTTTAAGGAATAATGTGAGCATCAGCTAACTTTTTAGATGGTTCACAGGAACCAAAGAAGAATAAGGATCACTCAGTAAAAATTGCATGCCACAATAAGTGGTCAGGCAACCTGGGTAGGTAGTCATGGAGGGGCAAGCAATTGGAGAACACCGGTAAACTGAAAGCAATGGGCCTAAATTATGGGTTGCAGTAAGGGGGTCCAAGAACTTTTTAGAGAGCAGAGAAAAATCTACACTTACCTCAATATTTTATCTAGGTTGACCCTAATTAAATATTTTAATCTGTTGGGTGGGAACTCGAGTTCTCAGACCTAGACTTTGTAATTTCCTTTGCCATAGGTTAAATCAATGGTTTTCAGTCACTCTGGCAATTGGGGAGGGGTAAGCAGAAATAATTTGTACATGAATGAGATGAAAGTTGTAGAAAAGTGCGATGTTTTTTAATGCTTAATTTAAAGGATGTATGGTTCCCAGATCAATGGGTTAACTGTAAACAAACAGAATGCAAACAAACTTACTGCAAAGTTTGTCTTCACAGTTACTTGGGCAGGCTTCACATGGGACGCCTGTCTTATAAGGTTCATTCTTTGTTTCAGGATCATTTCCCCTTGAATAAAAAAAAGTGATTTCATAAAACCCATCTTTGAAAAACTCACATAAAACTTTACTCACAGTGTACAACCAATTTTAAAAACAAATTGTGTAAACATTCTTGTAAAGAACAGTGATAATTTTTAAGATGGGTGTGAGATTTCCAATCTTACAGCTATAATATTTTTTAGCACGTAGAACCAATAAATGTGAGTGACATGAAAATATTTTTCAGTCAATGTGCACATCTCGTTGGACAGTCAAGTCCTAACAGTACTTGGGAACTTTGGGTACTCCCAAGTACAAGCAAGGGGACTCACAAGCAAGAGGGCTTTAGAGCCAATTACAATAGAACATTCTTCATTAATACCTATAAGGACTTGGTAAACCATCATTTAAAAGGGCATGATTCTTACCAATGTTAAGAAGAAAATCTCAAGTGAGGCAAGTTAGAGAGGTTCTAACTCCATCTTGCACTATGTTATAAGAAACTTTTTACATGTTAATGTCTTTTATTGAAAGAGATGGTGTATATAAAAGATGAAAGTACATCAGCATGGATAAAACTAAAGTGCTGGGGTGTGGGAAAGAAAGTAGATGAGAAGTTCTAGTTCTGGACTAATTTGAAACTTTAGAAAAGACGGGCAGGGCTCAATGACTTATCCCTGTAATCCCAGCACTTTGAGAGGGCAAAGTGGAAGGATTGCTTGAGCCCGAAAGTTTGAGAAAAGCCTGGGCAAAAAAAAAGCATCTTCATATCTACAAAAAAAAAAAAAAAAAAAAAAAAAAAAATTAGTTAGGCCTGGTGGCGTATGCCTGTAGTTCCAGATACTTGGAAGGCTGAGGTGGGAGGATAGCTGGAGCCCAGAAGGTCAATACTACAGGGAGCTATGTTGACACCTCTGCACTCCAGCCTGGGTGACAGAACAAGGCCCTATCTCAAAAGGAAAAACAAAAAAGAAAAGACAATTCTTACCCATGTATGTCTAAAAACATAATGTAGATAATATCTGCTTCTAAATACAACTTTAAAAAGTAAATGTTCTGGTTTTAAAAAGCCTTTTTAAATATGATATTTGTTTATCTGAGCTGCTAAAATTTCACTTTGAAAAGAAGATTATTACTAAATTCAGTAAGAGATTTAATGAGAGACTTGGACTAATCTTCAACCAAGAAAATTCCCCATCATAGATCTCCATATTTTGTACTTTTCTTTTTTGGATCAGTTGAAGTTCACTGCAGACTACCAACCCTTGAAAACATGTATCACAAATGATGTGTTGTAGCAGCAAAGAGATTTTATTGTCTTCAGCACAATTTATATATAACTCATATAGAGTTATTATATGGTGATATTACACTCTGAATCAATAGTGATAGTGGTGGCGCCACTGAAAATGTGAAGTATGGCAGTGTGTTTTCAAATAAATCATGTTCATTGATTTATACTGAACATTTTGTATTGTGCTACATACATGGGAGGCAGTGGTTAAGCACCATGCATTGAGTTCACATTATGTAGGAAAGACTTATGTGTTAATCTAAGAAATACATGTAGCTGAAGGAGATATATGATGGCGTCACTGACTTTTATCAGCAGAAGTGCAGAAGTGATATTGAACTGGCATTTGTAGTCAAATATCAGGCAGTTCTATCCAGCTCTGAATAATCTTCACTTTTCTGATAACCGTCACTGGAGCCACACAGTTGGGCCCTGCAGTCATCCTTGTCTTACTTGATCTTGCTTCATAATCACAGTTGATAGGAGAAGAAGGTGCAGCAGAACCTTACTGAAACAATCAGATTAAATTTTCTAGGAATTGTGACTAGTATCTGTGGTAGAATCTGTAACATGTATATTTAATTTTTAAAGAGAAGACATGCAACAACTTTTTGACTAGATAGCTAAATACAGGGAAAGACACTTGGCTCTTTCTATTTGTTTCCTTGTTAAGACTCCACTGCATGTCTGTCCTTTTGGTCTAACAATACTCTTGTTTTGTTGAAGTAAATGTCCTTGTTTCTTTGCTTAATCAAATTTGTTTCTCTTATATAATAATTACCTGAAGAATCAATGACACATAGGAAGACTGCTGGTAAATTGCTCTGAAAATATATTGGAGTTTTTTTTAAATAAGAGAAAATACAGTCAAAGGAATAAAATAATATATAACTAAATATGTGTTTTCACATAACTAGGAAGTAGTCAAGACTCAAACTACAGATTGTGTAACCATTCATCTTTGAAGGACATCTGGGTTATTTCCAGCTCTTGTCTATTATGAATAAAGTTGCTACAAACATTTATGCACACAAAAAAACAATGTTTGAAAAACTAGATTAGGTTACTTTAGGGGGATATATATTTTAAAAACTAATAATACATACTCATGACAATAGTGACAAACGTAGAGATATCGAGGTGATCCTTGTTGGCGGCAAGATGCAATGGCACAGCCAATCAGGTAAGATGTGGCCCAAACAATCTGCAATGATAAAGAGTTGTTTTATTACAGATTAAATATTTTACTAAATGACTATAATATCCATATTGTCATCCATGATTAAAAGTAAACATGTTGCTTTTAGGTTTACTTTGGGCATGGCTTAATAAGAAGTCATAGAAACAAAAGGACTCCCACGTGTCTGGATACCACACATGCATGTACACGCACATAGCTGCACACAATGGAAACCAGGTGGAGAAAATCAGCTGACGGGGAGGATGACTTGATGATTGACATTGTCTCTATTTTTTGTCAGTTTTTCTTTTTGAAAGTAAGTTGGGCTTCTAGATGTAATTTCTAATTTTAACAAAACCCAATGTTCATTTTCTCTGGGATAGGAGAGATGGGTAGAGAGAGGGTAAAGGTCCAAAAGGTAGCGTTGATCATTTTGCTATGAACAGGCTGATGTTCAAAGAGGACTTGAGTGTTGCCTTTCTGTACATGGGCCGTACATGACTGTGCATGGGATTCATTTCTCTGATCTTATCCAGTATACTCAGGGATGATCAAAACTCTGTGTCAATTCTCCATGACTCATTGGAACGAAACATGAGTGGCTGTCATCAACGCTGGCTCATTCTCCCCTTCTCATCAAATTTATGTGGACAAGATAACTTATCAGTTTACATAATGAAGGCTGCTTGGTGGTTATATAAAAATCAAAGCTTGGAAGAAACTTTTCTTATCGGTCAGTGAACAGGCATACTGTAGAGTACTGAGTTGGTTTTTGAGGAAAAGTGAGCCAGGTTTAAATTCCATCATTTACTTCTTGGGTAGGGTATACTTAGAAGTTTGCTTTATGCCTCTGAGTTTCATTTTCTCAGCTGTAAAATGGGATACAACAACGCTGTCCTCTACATCATAAGTGAATGGTAGGATTAAACATTCAAATATTTAAGTGGTTCAAAAGGAGATGTTTTCAGTAAGTGTGATTGTTCTCACTCGCCCTCCCTGCCTTATGTGAGCCTGGGTAGCTTTCTCACAGTCCTAGAGACTTTCCTCACATTTCTGTTCATGTTCTTGATTAGAGAACATGTTTGTATGACTCTTTTAGATAAAATATTGTTTTCTCTTTACAAAGAGAGTCATGCATGGGTGCCAATCTCTCCACACCATATGGCTTTTAATTATCTGCGGCTAACCTAGGCTTTTACTAAAACTATTGCTCTATCTGGGCATAAAAATTTTATAATGTAGATTCTTTGTTTGCAGGTTCTTACTAACATTTTCTACCAATGAGTATTTTCCGTAAGAGACCCTGTTGAACTCAGAATCTAATGGAGCACATAACCTGAAACATGATTTTAATAAAAATGCAGCTGAACATCTATTTTGCTATGTTCTCTCTCTATATTAATTGGTAATAAGATTATTGAACTTAATTTATTCATTTATTCTTTTAACTCATAGCAAAGAAAAATTGAAAATGAAACTTTTTTCATTAGGTCTTCAGACACAAATGATTGTAGAAAAAGAGCTTTTATTTTACAAAATTTTTCTATGAACATACTAATGTATTTATACAAGGCTACAGAAAATGTCGGAAAATGTCTGGAAAAGCCTTGTGGTATATTCCCCCACTGGGCCTGCTGTCATGGGCTTACTCACCTTCGCATTAATGTTCTTGCTGTTCAGTTCATTCTGCTTGGAACCCTGTATTCTGCTACTTGCCCTTCCCTGCGCTCAGCTGCTTCTGATTTTTAGAACATTAGGTGAAATGAAGTTCCCATCTCTCAAGTGCATATGAAAGATTAAGAGCTGTGTAAAGACCACTTGACTAGGATTCAGATCTGGGTTCTAGTCCTAGCTCCTCCATTTGCTAGTCATGAGAGGAATCCATAACTGGTGGAATGTAAAATGTTTCTATATTCTACTGTGTTAAATTTTAAGCAAATGAAAGCGAATTTCTCTGATTTCATTGTCTTCATTCCTGGAAACAGGAAATGAGAGAAATCATTTTGATAAAACGTGTTCTATTTTGAAAGTGACACCGATTCACTTTGAAGGAGACAAATCAAGATTATCTGAAGGTGATGGAATTCAGTTAATATACCACAGCGATGAGATAATGCTTTTGTGATAAAATTAGTGTGTTAGTTGACTTATATAGGAAATAGAAGGTTTGAATCCAGGCCACAAATTTCTTAGATTTTTAGCTTTCTAGATATTTATTGTATTTTTATCCTTTAATCCTTTGATAAGGTAAATTATATGATTAGTTTAATGTTAAGATACTCCTGGATTCCTGCCACATACCCTTTGTGTCTAAGTGTATCAATCTTAAAAGAAAATGCTATTTACTAGTGTTTTATTTAGGATTTCTGCATTAATTTCTGTGATTATGCCTCTTTTTTATATGCTTTATCTTCATTGGCTTTTAACATCAAATTTAAGTAGGCTTTATTTCAAGTGGATTTTATTTTAGATTTTGTGTAACTTACCAATGGGCACATGTGAGAACATAGTGAAAGGAAGCAGTCTTTAAGCCAGAAGGAGAATCCTCTCAAGAAACTAACTATGCTGGCACTCTAATCTTGGACTTCCAGCCTTTGTGAATTCAATAAAATAAACTTCTGTGGTTTAAGTCATTCAGGAATGTGATATTTTGTTATGGTAGACTGAGCACACTAAAACAGATTTTGGTATCAAGAACTGAGATGCTGCTTCAACAAATACCTAAAAATGTGGAAGCAGCCTTGGAATTGGATAATGGGTAGAGACTGGAAGTTCTTAAGTGCATGCTATAAAAAGTGTAGATTGCCTTGAGGGGAGTGTTGATAGAAATAAGGGCATTAAAGTCTATTTTGTTGTGGTCTCAGATATAAATGAGGGACATGTACTTGGAAATTGGAAGAAAGGTAATCTTTGTTACAAAGTAGCAAACAAAATGGCTGCTGCCTTGTCTTCTAGTGTTTTGTGGAAGGCAGAAGTTGTGAATAACAAACATAGAAATTTAGCTGAGGAGATTTCAGAGCAAAGGATTGAAGGAGTGGTTTGGTTTCTCCTCATCACTTATAGTAACCTACAAGAGGAGAGCAAGCAATTGAAGAAATCTTTATGCAAGGAAGAACCAGAACTTGAAGATTTACACAATCATTAGCCCATCTATATTGCAGAAAATGAGAAAGTATTTTCAAAAGAGAATCCTAAGGATGTCGCTGAACAACCATTAGATAAAGACACCATGGATATGATTTATGGATTTAATCATACATCTCAGCAGAAATAGAGGTGTGATTATGCAGTGGAGGTACTGCCAGTTTGAACTAAAGTGGACAGAGAAAACAGACCCAAGTGAAGGAAGGCTGTCCGACTTCTTAGACTCTTCAGAATGACATGATAGAGATATTTCACTTCAAACATGCTTTATCTTTCAAGAAAAGGGAAGAATGACTCCCCAAATGTTTCAGAGATCATGAGGGCTCCCATGCCCACTACAGGTCCAGGGAGCAAGGCTGCTTCCTGCTTAGCTTCAAACAGTGTTGTCCCTGCAGATGATCTCTGAAAACAGCCATGTTAGCAGGGCCTCTTCTGAGAGTCATTTGATGAGGCTGCCTCACTGAGCTAAAGGGAAGAGGCTGCCTCACTGAGCTAAAGGGAAAAGGCTGCCCACAGAGCCATGGGTGATGCTGCCTCCAAGTTGGCCAAGAGTGCAGAGCATCAAACCAAAGAGAATTATTCTCAAGCCTTACTATCACATGAAATTTCTTTTGCCTGGTTTTGGATTTGCCTGGGACCCATTGCTGCTTCCTTTTCTATTTCTCTCTTTCGAAATGAGAATGTCTATCCTATGCCTGTCTTTCTGTTGTACTATGGAAGCATATAACATTTTTTGTTTCATAGGTTCACTCCTGGCGAGAAATTTTACCTCTGGATGAATCACATCTTGAATCTCATGCATTTAGATAATATTTAGGTAAGACTTTGGGCCTTAGACTTTAGAGTTGATACTGGAATAAATTAAGAATTTGAGGGCTCTTGGGATGGAACGAATCTATTTTGCATGTGAGGAAAAAATAAATTTGTTGGGGAGGGGCAATGGTACAATGTTATGAGCTGAATTCTTCCCCCAAAATTCGTATTCTGTACCTCTAACTTCCATCCAGTGTAGCTGTATCTGAAAATAGAGTTTCTAAGGAAATAATTAAGATTAAATAAAGTCATACGACTTGGGCCCTGTTCCAGTAGGATTTGTGTCCTTACATGAACAGATGCTAGACAGCTTGCTCTTATGGTCTCTCTTGTCTCTGTCTCTATCCTTGACTCTCTCTGGCTCCTCTTTTGCACTGGGGAGAAGCCATGTTAGGACATTGTGAGAAGGTGTCAGGCAGAAAGCTTTCACTAGAAACTATGCTCTATTAAGATCATAGACTTCTAGGATACAAAATGTGGGAAAATAAAGTTCTGTTGTTTAATCCACCCAGCTGTGGTATTTTGTTATGGCATCCTAAGCAGATTAATAGAGCAAAGATGTGAAGAAATTGCAAATTTTGTAAATTGCTGGTGGGAACGTAAAATGGTGCAGCTGCAACAGAAAATATAATAGTACTCCAGTTTTTCAAATAATAAACACAGTATTCACATATGATCCAGTAATTCCTCTCCTTGGCATATGCCCAAAACAATTGAAAGCAAGCACTCAAACAGATATTTTCACACCAATATTTAAAGCAGTATTATTCACAATAGCCAAAAAAAAAAATGGAAACAACTCAAATGCCCATCAGAACAGACAAGCAAAAGGTGATATACACATGCAATGAAATAGCATTTAGCCTTAAAAAAAAGAATACAATTCTGACACATGCTACAACATGGATGAACATGGATTTAATATATCATGCTGAGTGAAATAAAGCAGACACAAAAGGACAAATATTGTATGTTTCCAAATTTATGAGGTACTTTGAGTAGTGAAATTCACAGAGACAGAAAGTAGAGTGGTAGTTGCCAGAGGTCTGGGGAAGTAGGGAGAGGAATGGAAGGTATTGTTTAATGAGTACAGAGTTTCGGTTTGGGAAAATGAAAATATTCTGGCGATGGCGTTGCACAACGATTTGAGTGGACTTATTGCCACTGAACATTCATGCCACATTAATGCTGAACATGAAACCATTTAAAATAGTTAAAATGGTAATTTTTTAAATGTATATCTTACCACAATAAAACTAAAGTTAGAAATCAGGGGTTTCTCTGTATTGTAAGGTACCATTATTTTCACTTTTACAAATACTACCAATATCAAATGAGATTGATGTCTTATGATTTTGTGAGTTCCTGAAAAATCTAGTGAGTAAAGAAGGATACTAAGAGGTTAAGCATCTTCTCTAAGTCGTATTTTGAACAGAACACTTCCTTCTATTTCAAATTATAAGAGGAACTCAGTAAATTGAGTAAAGATTGCCATAAGAAGGTAGAATGATTTTCAGTTGTTTCTTAGTTACGTTTCCACACACATGCTTATCTCTTAAACAATGTGTGTGTTTGCCAGCACACAGGTTACCTGAGTGTAGTGGTCAGTAGTTATGTCATCATCCGTTGTTGTCCATTCTCCATGTTTGAAACTTGTAGACTCACTGTACCAGACTCCAATTACACTTGACCATGATACAGGATAAGATGTCATATGCATATTTTCTCCACAAAAGGTATCTGAAATGAGAAAACGGGCTGGGTCATACTCTGAACAAATGGGAAATAGTATACAAGGAGACTTTCCTCATTTTTATTTTATGAATGGTTCACTGATCATCTTGACAACATCTTCTGAGAGGGAGTAAAATAAGTTGTATCCCCACTGAAAATCTTTCTCATTGATGAATGAGCATGTGGTACTCAAGTTTGGTGAAACGTTGATAGTAGGTGATGAACAAGTTTTGAAATCAAATCATCAACATTTCAGTCTCTGCTGCTTCCAAGCTGCTTTAGATAGGTGAAACCAAATCAGAGAAGCATAAGAGTGCTAACAGGGTCTATGGCTTAAAGGAAGCTACACACAGGTGTTCATAATACAAAGATGTTGAATAAACATTTGTTTATTTAGCCATTCATGTATGGTGTGGGCTTTTGGTTGAACATGGTATTCAGGAGTATCTGTCTTTTCTTAAGGCAGGCAGGAACCACTTTGCTAATTCACTGCTAAAAAGCATTGGACTAAGATTCCAAATAATCTGTAGATATAAATGTGAATCAGCATTTTTAAAACATGTTAATTAAAAAAAGATTCTCATGTTAAAATATAATGTTTATTCCTGAGTGAAGGTGATATAGTTTGGATGTCCCCTCCAAATCTCATGTTGAGATGTAATCCCCGTGTTGAAGGTGGGGCCTGACCGGAGACGTTTACCTCACGGTAGTGGATTCCTCAAAGAACTTGGTGCTGTCTTCATAATGGTGAGTGAGTTCTCATGAGATCTGGTTGTTTAAAAGTATGTGGCACCCCCCAACTCTCTCTCTCTTGCTCCCTCTCTCACCATGTGAGACACTTGCTCCCCCTTCACCTTCTGCCATGATTGTAAGCTTCCTAAGGTCTCACCAAAAGCCAAGTAGATGTGGGTGCCATGCTTCCTGTACAGCCCGCAGAGTCATAAGCTAATGAAATCTCTTCTTAATAAATTACCAAGGCTCAGGTATTTCTTTACAGCAACACAAAAACAGCGTAACACAGAAGCAATAATGTTTTTTTTTATTATTTCCTGGAAACTAGCAGTAAGTTACCTAATTTATATGCTTTAAGATGGGCTCATTTTTGAGCACCTAAAATTGTCTTATGGGCAGCTGAGCAGGGCTGCATATAACTTATTTCTCAACTGCATTATCGTTCCAAAGCTAAGCAGATCCCCATGGTGCTATTGTTCAGTAGCTATAGTAACTCCACAGAATGGAGACCTAGGTTTCTAGCTGCTCACTCCACTCTTCTGCAATACTGAGATTTTTTATTCATTTCTCCTGATGGTCAGAACTTGGAATCTGAAAACTCCAGAACTTGGAATCTGAAAACTTAAAGATATAAACCTTAAAAATTAATGAGTTAAAACAGTGTAATAGTCCACAATTCACTGCCTTGTATGACCCAGTGCAAATGAGGAAATCTAGATGACTTAATTTACTTTCATCAGGGTACATAACAATCCCTGTTTTACTATTTTTTTTTTTTTTAGTCCAAAGGCGGGTCATATAGATACACACTTACTTGGAAGTCTCCTCTCAAGGGGGTTGCTCTCTGTCATATCACAATACTTTGAAAAAATTCTGGCATTTTGTGCAGCCTCTTCACTCCAACTCTGTAGTGGAAAGAAAAAAAAAGCACATGTTCCAATTAATATTTTCATAAGATTCTAATTTATTGTTTTTAATAATCCACGAGATATAATATCTTCAATTGTATCAACTAGAAATTTAAATAATGAGATTACTATTAAACGTTCTAGTAGAAAGAGAAAGACAACAATTTCAATTTATTATGTTGGCCCTTGAATTCACAAATTCAAAACTTGGTAATTACATTCAGAGATAGATTCTCTCTCAGATGTAGTAGAGAATTTAAGTAAATGCTTCCAGGGAAACAGACCAGAGTTACTTAGTAATTTATTTGTAGTTTAAACTCAGACATGTTATTTTATCTCTTTGAATCTCAGTTTATCCATCTGGAAACTGTTACCTGTAATTTATGCCCAAAGGTTTGTTCAAATGTGATATTCCAAGGAATACAACTGAGATGTGACAAATCTTCTGTATTGAATAAATGCTGGCTGTGATTAGAAGCAAGTATAGAGTCATATTTCCATCTAAAATTATGAATAACAAAAATAAAAGCTAACACCACATGCCAGAATCTGTCACCAATTCTGTGTGTATCTTCTCTCACTTTAACCTCATGGCAACTCTACAAAAAAAAAATATTATATCCATTTGTAAATAAGGGAAATAAGGCACAGAGATGTTAAGTAACTTTTCGGGGTCACACTATAAATAACTGACAAAATAAGAATTTGAATCCACTTAGGATGGCTTCAGAGTATGTGTTCTTGACTCTCAGTGTGCATCAACTGTGCTGAGTTGAAGCATTTGGTCAGGTATGACTAAGTAACAGCTGTTCTCCCAATGCAGAAAGGGAGAAATTCTGCATCTGTAAGTATGACACTCTGTGATAAATGATCTCCCTAACAGTCTCCTATCATTGTGGTGTATATGAAACTGCCCAATTTTTACAAAGAACTGAGCCTATGAACATTTGTCTTATCTGAGTTCCTTTGTCAGGAAACCCACCATCGGGCCCCGCAGGTGGTAGCAGGGAACTGAGGCTTTCCTGATCACCACACCTGGTCAAGGAGACACAGCTGCTGCCTGTTGACCAAATCCTCTTCCTTGTCCCTCTTGTTTTCTGTCCCTCCTATATAAACTTTTAACTTTGGTTGGTTAGGGAGAGGGAGGGATTTGACAGTCAGGCTGACATCACCCTCATGAAAGCCTTTCTTCCCAGGCAATGGGCAATACTCATTTTTGTGCTGCAAGCAACTAGACCTTGGCTGAACCCCTGGTGTTCAGCAGCATATACATCCATTTAAAAGAATACCCTTATATGTGCATATAACAGATTGCCAACAGAAGTCATAGAGTTTGTTTTTACTATAAGTTTTTATGTAAATCATTCAGCTACTGTTTAGACTGTTTGGAGGACACTCATTTTCAGTGTCGTCCTGAGCATGTAGTTTAATTATAATATGTATTTGCTGCCATCTTGTGGTCAATGTTTAGAATTACCCTTGGGGTTGATGAATTTACTAAACCGTGAGATGAATTAAATAACTTATTAGCCTAGCACTGGGTAAAACCATGGTTTTGTAGGTTTTGATAGTTTCAAACAAAAAAAAATATTTTAGTCATGGCTATGTCTAACTGATAAGCAGAGAGGACACAACACATCTACCAGTGTATAGCCTCTCTGGGCTGGGGGAATACCATGGCATTCACTACTAAGAACAAAAAACCAAACACCGCATATTCTCACTCATAGGTGGGAATTGAACAATGAGAACACATGGACACAGGAAGGGGAACATCACACTCTGGGGACAGTTGTGGGGTGGGGGGAGGGGGAGGGATAGCATTAGAAGATATACCTAATGCTAAATGACGAGTTAATGGGTGCAGCACACCAGCATGGCACATGTATACATATGTAACTAACCTGCACATTGTGCACATGTACCCTAAAACTTAAAGTATAATAATAATAAAATAAAATAAAAAAAGAAAACTTACCGGAACTGGAACTTATCTGGTTAAAATATAGCAGGATGTTTGCACTTTGAAGATGATGTATAGGACATTACCTCTGATTAATGTTGGTGAGATACTCCTTTTTTGAGACATATTCAAAATTAAAATTAAAGTTTGTATTTATGATCGTACCAAAGCTCTGAATTCCAGCTTTAACAAGTGACTCTACTTAGGTTCTAATATTGTGTTCAGAAACTTTTTTTTTTAAAGAAAATCTCTGCCTGGTAATTGTGGTTAACTCTTCAGTCCTATTGTTCCTTAAATTTGCTGTTGCTACTTCTAATCCTATACATGTCCTATGCATTGTTTGTGGAGCAGCTGAACTCTCGTATTTCCTTTGAAATATTTCTCAGTTTTACTGGTACACTTACTTTTATCGTCTTCTTGATATTTCATATCTTTTTGTGTTAGTACTTGAATATATGTATTCTTGTATTTTTCCAGTGTTTTTTCTGTATTTGCCTTTCATCTCCAATCTGAAATCGGAGGCTATATTTTTTACTTTTCTTTAACTCTGTTTGTACCTCCTAGGTAAACTTATTTGCTCATCTGGCAACCAAGGAATTTGGACTCTACTTCTCCAGCTCCTCAGATCTGGCCCACTTGCATTTTAATCTGGGCCCCAGTCCTTAAGATTTTGAATAAGCTACTCAATTTTTCTTAGGTTCAGTGTCATAATATGTAAAATGAAGACAATTTTATTGGGAGAAGGAAGTGAGTTAATGTAACAAGGTATTAGAAAAATGCCTGTAAATAATAAACACATGTATGTTGGCTACAACACCATGCAGGAATGCCTATGAAAGCTATTGATTTTTATTTTTAGTTCAAATACCCCTTTGGATTTTAAAGTGATTAAGAGATAAATCTCAAAATCATTTATGTATTTCCTTGTTTCATCCTCTTCATCATTTGCAAGAGAAAGGTGCTCCTTAGAATCACCCTCCAGAGCCTGCACTATTTCTAACCCTTGTTGCTACAGGCCGGTCCAGGGTTCAAGGAAGCAGGCTGAGGGTGCTCATGAAACTGAGTGATACTGCTGGATAACAAATGTGAGGGTAATCACCTAAACACCTGAGACTTCCCTAAATTTGTCTTGTAGCAGAGCATAGCAGGTTTATAATGAAATAATTTCTCTTCCTATTTATGGGATGCAATGAAACTGGGGGATAAATTTGCCAATATTTATTTACCTGGCCACATCAACTAACTAGATATCTGGATATTTTAATTCTAGGAAGAGTGTCTTAGCCTCTGGACTACTGCCCAATGAAGACAGCTATGAAATGCATGGATAACTTGTTAATCAATATTTGTCGTGTGTACTGGCAGCATCAGCATCAGCTGGGAGCTTGTGGTGGTCTCCAGGTCAGACCTCATGAATCAGGATATCAGAGAGTGAGACCCAGGAAAGTGTGCTTTACTAAGTTCTTCAGGTGATTCTTGAGTACATTAAAGGTTGAGAAGCACTGTCTTAGGGTGTGGAGGAATGAAGCTAGACTGGCTGAGCTCTGTCATTGACTAACCATATAATCATCAGAAAGTTACTTACCTTCTCTGGACCTCTGTTTCTTCTGCTATGTAAAAGATTTGTTGTGAAGATAAAACTTTTAGCACTTTGAAAGTGCATAGAACTTAATAAAACTCAGTAAACACCATTACTATTATTGCAATCATGGTTGTTGCTATTTTTTGATCTTACCATCTTCAGCATGTTGCTGGCTGGTGGAACTACTCTTCTCCTGAGGGCGTTGTGTATATTAACGATCTCTTCTTGTACATTTGGCAAGTCGGTGACGAGCTTATTAAATTGGTCTCTAGCTGATTTCTTCTGTTACCAGAAAAATATTAATTAGTGTTACTTCTTTTAAGTGGAATTTGTCACATATATTTTGCAGACCTATAGGTAATGCAAATTTATAGTTTATATTAAACAGTGATTTATAGCATTTTTGAATTTATAATGTCTCATTATATTGGATTCCATTTCTCCAGTACTAATTTTGAGGATTTCTCAACGTCAGGCTGACATCACATTAGTCTTCAGAATAATGCACTTGTTATCCTGTTATTAGGGTTTTTCCAGGTTCATACTTTGGACCATGTTGAAGCACTTTTTATTGGGCAATAAGATCCACAAAGGGAGATATCTTAAAATCACACCTGTTACTTACTTCTCTGGCTTATTCTCCACATCTCCCACCCTGCAACAACTGTACTCTCTGCTTCCCAAATAAACTACTTCCACTTGAACCCTTGTGTAGAGGTGTGTGTCTGGGGTAACCCAAACTAAGAGATTCATTATTGAGGACAAAGTTGCAAGTGTTATTAACACAAATTCTATGTCTTCTTACTGTTCATATGAGAAAACATCAATGCTCTCAAGTGTATGTGTGAGAGAGTAAAACATAGAATTCAAATTCAGCCTATAATCTTGAATTTGTGACCGTTCTTTTCATTTATTTATTTTTTATTCTGAAACTCACTAAGAAGAAAAATACATGACCAAAGTATTTAGGTTAGCATTAATCGCTATAAAGAGAATCTTTGTGTGTGTGTGTGTGTGTGTGTGTGTGTGTGTGTGTGTGATATCACATGTACTTCATACCTTTTTTAAAAAATGTGGCAGAACTAATGTACTATAATGTGAGGGGTGTCTGTTGCTTCCTTAACTACCACATGACCATCAGCACAATTTATGAATGAATACGATCTAGCATCATAACTTACACAATATATAGAAGTATTCACTGTCATTTATATCAACAGTTTAGGGTAAGGGGAGAAAACTTAAATATGGAATTCAGAAGACTCCTCTAGAGACTGTCTCTGTGGACATACTCACATGATGTCACTTTTTTCTCACATTGCAAGTCATGCTGATTTGGACTAGAGGACAGGCTGCGGACCCACATGATTCCACATACTATTTCCAGATTACAACTCTCCTTGCTCCTCTCAAAATCTCTGCTGCAGGGAAACTCATGACATTTTCCTCTCACACCTCATTCCTGAACATTTATTTAACATCCTATCATGGATTTTTTTCTTACTTCCTCTCATTCCTGGAAATTGGGTTTCCTGAAACGAATTCATCTTTTCCACCCAGATTTCTGAAGTCAACTCAAAGGACTTCAACATCCACATGGATGAATCCAACCCTTTGATGTCTCAGGCCCTTAAAATCTTCCTCCTTTAGACTTCTCCTTCAGTCCTCTTTATCCTCACTTTAATGGTCACCTACTATATCTCATGATCATCCCAAAACACCATACCTCCCAAATCACCTGGTCAAGCATTTCCCTGCCTGATTGGAATTTCCTGTTCTTCCAAGTTGCCACGATCAGCCATTCTGACTGTTCTTTAATATAATCGAGCCTTCTAACTCATTCTTCATTTTCTCTACTAGCCCTCTCTTGTCTTTCCTTTCATCTCTATCTGTGTTCTCTACTTTCACAACTCTCCTTTTGCAATATTGAATCTTTTGTCTGCACACCATCATCTAGAAATGCCTACCTAAAACATCCCAACTTCGGATGAGACTGACAATTCTCCTGCCTGTTCTATCAGCTGAGCATTGCCAGAAAAATGTCTCACAAAACAAAACAACACATATCTGCATGACCCCAAATCAGTAAGATTGACCTCAAATAGTTCCTTAACTCTGCTAATCAATTCTAATGAATTGTTTGATTAACTCACTCTGTCACTCTCCACATTATTGTAGAACTTTTGCAATCTCCCCCATTCACAACCACCTTCTCTCAACAGAATGTGAAATATCCTTCTTCCCTCAGTAAAGAGAAGCCATCAGAGGGCAGCTGCTTCAACTGTCTCACCCAGTCTGTCAATCTACCTGTATCTGTCCCCTTTCTTTCCTCCTCTTCTGTGGTACAAGTGAATGGGTCATTCTTTCTAATCTTTCTAAGGCTCAATTCTCCAACAGTGTTATTTAGTCCATTCTCTTCTACCATTCCCCCAAATCTTACATTATTTACTTTTCATTTTGTTTGCTGTCAGCCACTCTTTCTTTTTGGCCCTTCCCAGCAGTGTTTATTTATGATTATGCAGCTTATATCTCTTTTTTTGAGAAGAAGTCTCACTCTGCTGCCAGGCTGGAGTGCAGTAGCACGATCTTGGCTCACTGCAGCCTCTACTTCCCAGGCTCAAGCGATTCTCCTGCCTCAGCCCCCCAGTAGCTAGGATTACAGGTGTGCACCACCATTACTGGCTACATGCTGCTTATTTCTTAAAACAGATAAACAAGCAACCATCATTTCATTTACATCACTTCCCCATTCAACTATTGTTCTCTGTCTCTACTCTCTTTCCCTATCAATATTCTGGAAAATATCGCCAACTCTGGCTGTCTACAGTTGCCCAAGTAATAGAGCCTCGCATTTACCTCCCTCCATTTTTTTCAATAATATGTTCTCTATTCTAGGTGATCCACCTGCCCTGCTGCTTAGGCATTAGGCAATGTCTGGGGAAATTTGAGGTTGTCGTGATGGGCATGATAGGGGGAGAGTGCTCCTGCCATTTTGTGAATAGAGGGCAAGGATGCTGCTGCTAAATTCCTGCAAGGCCCAGAACAGCCCTCACCACAACAAATAATTATCCCATACAAAATGGCAATAAGGTTGAAGTTGGGAAACCCTACATTAGAAATACTCCTATTAAAATCCCTGACAAGCTCAATTTGCATATGCAATATTGTTTTAATGACTTTATTCTGCTTGGTTTATTGGCAGCTGACTCTTTTGACTAAACTTTCAGTGTAGAAATACTCTTTCTTTTGGTGTAAGGAACAAACACACTCTTTATTTTTCTCTTTCCTTTCTTTGCTTCTTTCACCTGGACTGATTGTGGCTACTGTCTAGCTTTCAACTGGCCTCCCAGAATCCACTAATGCTTTACTATGTCTATAGCCTCTCTCCCACTCCGTGATCCATTCTTTCATAATGCATTCTCCAATCATCATTCGGAGTAAAAATTTTAAAACACAGACACAATGGATTCACTTTACTGTTAGAAGTCTTCAACAGTTTACCATTCATAAAAAGAGGAACTAAAATCTTTAACAAGGCCTTTGAATACTCTGTTTATTCTCAGCCTCTATTTAGGATATGTGTCCTTATCTCTGATTTTTTTTTTTTTGGTTATCTGAATGTGCCAGTTTCCTTCCTGCCATAGAATATTTGCCCATGCCTGTACCTTTGATAGTACACCTTGTTAACTTGCAAAGCCAACTTATTCTTCAGATTGCAGGTATACCGTGTGCTCAGATAAGTCTCTAATTAACTCAGAGACGATTCAGCCTGCCTGTTACCTGATCACAACTCTCTATAGTTTTCCTCAAAAAAACTTTTTGTGTAACATCTACCAGATTGTCATGGAAAATTACCTATATAAAAAGTAAAAACAATTTTTGTTAAATTAGACACCTAATATCCCAAAAAACACTGCCACTGGTGGAAGTTTAAAATATGATTCAGGTCTGGTGGTTAGTCTATTTGCTTTCTACCTGGAGTCTGAAAAAAGAAAGCATAATACTACTTTTGTTGGCAAATTGGAACACATTATTTACTTTAACTCAGACTCATGTTTAAAGTTTATGTAATAAATTTGTGTTGGGGGTTAAATTTATCTTCTTGTTTAAATTTAAAATTCTTAAGCCTTTATTTTATGACCAAACTATCTATAAAATGTATGAAAATATTCTAATAATTCTCTGTTATAGAGCATCAACCTATTGTTTTATCAATGCCTTCTACTTTTTCTTTTGTATTCTTGGTCAAAAGCGGATTGGGTATGGTTTCCCTTGGACGGGTAGGGTTCTACTTATCTGCTCTTTGCTCTGGACTTTTAACTAGTGATACTAATTTCTTCTTTCACATGACAATCTGGGCCAGGCTGTTTCCCAGAACTTGGCCTAAGTGGTCTAAACAGCCTAGTACTAGGTCTTGATGGCAAATATAGGTTTCTGACTGTTTGCCCTTTTCCCATTCCTCTGGAATGGTGGCTATACTTCAGGTTAGCTTTTTCCTTATTATGAAGCATGAAGGTCACCCTTCCTCACTGGGGAAGTAAAATGGTCAGAGAATCAGAGGGAAGGAAGAAGTCTTATTCAGGACTCTAATTCAGGACGCTAATTCCAGCTTACTGGAGGATTACTGGGCATTAAACAGGAGCTCCACCTAGTCTCTCTCTGGGGAAGAAGAGTGAGTAATAGGAACCAAATACCAAACCAACACCCTAATAGCCTAATGCATATGGATTTTCTTTCCACAATAAAACTAAGTGCCTTTTATTTCTTACTTCTCTACCTGGCCTACGAAAATATAAAAACCACTCATTTTCTATACCAAAGTTATTTACTTCAGTTTGTCACAAAATTTGGGGTAAATTAAAATATATATTATTTTCTTTATATCATTGAAGTTATTTAAAGGTGAATATTATTGGCTGATCATAAAATATTATATCATTGAGTGTTCTACTTCTGTTTTGTGACTGTTAAAGTTATTGTTTTTAATTATTAGTGAGATTATTGTTTTTAATTATTAGTGAGATTAAGGTAGCCAATGGAATTCAAACTGCTAATCAGCTCCTCACGTTGCTCTTTGTGCTGTTGGCACCTTTCCATTTTATATTTAATTTTGATGCTTTAAATTCTTGTTATAGTAAAAAATTATATAGCTAATCTGCATTCTCAGTTTTTTTCCTGTGTTATTCAGAGAGGCCACAATGAAATAGATATGGACCCACAGAGCTAACTGATTAAGTATAATTTCAGGCCCTGCCATGTCCTAGTCCTCAGATATTGGCCATATTACTCAACTTTACTATTCTTTGGTTCTCTCCTTTATAAAATGGTATTAAGATGAGTACTTGCCTAACAGGGCTATTGTGAAAACAAAGTGAGTAATGGGTGTAGTGGCCTCACAACAGTGCCTCTAACATGGTGAATTGTATTAAAGTGTTAGCTCTTATCTTTATTTAGAAAGTAATTATGAAACATCCAACCCTCACATACTTTCATGGACAACATAGGCAGTAAGCAAGCAGCAGCAACCAAAAACAAGAGGTGTTTAATTTCCATCCCTGAAAGAAAAATAACACAATTTTAGATTATTCTCAATTCATGGGATAACATCTGGTAATAAACTATTTAAACCACTTTTACATGTGTTTGCATTTTTTTTCCTAAAAGAAACCTTTAGGATCCGAACAAGGTTTAATGTGTTAGTCATTGGGATCCAGATAGAAAGGCAGGACTGTTGTTTGAAGAATAGTAGAATCTCAAAAATATAAATTGTTTTAATCCCTGGACCTTTGAATATGTCATATTGTATGACACAAGGGAATTAAGGTAGCAGATGGAATTCAAACTTCTAATCAGCTAACATTAAAGTAGGGAGATTATCCTGGAATACCTAGGTGGACCCAATGTAATCACAAGAGTATTTAATGTTGAAGAGGAAGTCAAAAGAGTCAATGTCAGTGATGAGCATGAGACAGACTTGACCAGTCATGCTGAATTTGAAAACAGAGGAAGATACTCCAAGCTAAGGAATATGGATAGCCTCTGGAAGCAGGAAAAGGTAAGGAAACAGATTCTCCCCATAGAGTTTCCCTGTTGACATTCTGATTTTAGCCTAGGAAGACCTATTTGAATTTCTGACCTCCAGAACAGTAGGATAATAAACCTGTATTTATTTTAGAACATTCAATTTATGATAACTTGTTATAGTAGCAAGAGGAAACTAATATAAGAACACAGAAAGATTCTATTTAAACTCTCCGTCAGCTACAAAGAAGAGGAGTAACTTGCTACTACTAATTTATGTAAGTGACTTAGCGATATTCCATAATATCTGATCACTTTGCTAAGCATGGTTGTCATTATGAGTCAGACAAATCAGAGCTAATGTACCTTCTCTTTTATTTTTAGTTAATATAGCTAGCTAACTCTAGGATATTAATAAGTATAGATTATTGAATTTGGTTGGCACCTTCTTTTCACCATCTGCCAAGTTTATTTCTGAATTAATCCTGCTGTGTGAGAAGCAAAAAAGGCTAACAGTTTGGTTCTCATTTTACAAAAGAAAGCACTTTTAAAGAGCAAGTTAACAAATTTGTGCAGAATAATACAGGGCAGACAATTAATCATGCTTTTTCACCCAATGATGTAGTTTACCATTGCTCTCACGTTTCCCCTGCTGACTGCCAGACATGCTCAATATGAGAAGAACTCTCTAAATCAATTCTTTCAGAGAACATACACATGTAAACAATCTCACCTTTATCACTCTTTTTCATCTATTTCCTTTCCTTTCTTTCTCCCTCCAAATGTTCACATAGCCTCACATTTCAAGATTTATCGTAATATGGTGACACAGATGATGAAATGTCCCTTTCTCTTTCTAATGCTCAAAAAATCTAGTAAAGCAGATAATATTAACCCTGAGGTAACTGAAACAAAAAAGGTAAATAAAAGGGAGATTCTGAGGGGAGGGGCTTCAAGAAAGATAGCTGACTAGGCATCTGGCACTTGCCTTCTCCACAAAGAAGAACCAAAATAAGGAGTAGATAATTAAACTTCAAATAGACCATCTAGTATTCAACAGATAAGTGACATGAAACACCTAAAGCAAAAAAGGAGAGAAAAACAAGGCAGTCTGCTCAGTTGGGACTGACTGGGAGCCTGGAAAGGCTCCTTAACACATGGAAAGGGTAAGTGAGTGACCCCCACTGATGCACATTTTCATCGTGGACTTCTGCTTCCTAGCCATTGGGATGCTTCTAGACTCTCACAGACCCCTCGAGGCTACCAAAGAGTTGCCTGGAGCCTGCCCAAAGGCACAGTTCCAGAGGAGAGTTCACGGTGGGTCCCACGGGTTTCACACACCCTTGAGTGCTAGGCAGCTACAGAAGCGTCCTTTATTGAGAGCCTATTCCCAACCAGGCTGCATCCTGCACAGGGCCCCAGCAGTCCTTGCATATCCACATCTCTGGAGCCACATTGACATTTCCCACCTGAAGTGTCTGCTGCACCTAGCTGCTGCTGCCAGAGATGATATATTTAACAAGTGCTGAAAGAAAAAAAAAAAAAAGAAACATCCACCTATGGATACTATAACGAAGAAAGTTATTCTTCATAAATGAAAGATTAAAAAAAAAGTTTTTTCCAGACAAGCAAAAGCTAAGGGAATTTACTACCATTAGACTGGCCTTACCAGTAATGCTTAAAGGAGCCCTACACATGGAAGTGAAAAGATATCTACCATCATGAAAACACACAAAAGTATTAAACCCACTGGTAGAGCAAACACAAATAAGGAAGAGCAAAAACTCAAATGTTATCACTACATAAAACTACCTAACCACCATGATAAACAATAAGAGAAAAAGGAAACAAAAAATATGCAAAACAGCCAGAAATCAACTAACAAAATGACATATCAATAATAACATTGAATGTAAATGGATTAAATTTTCAATTTAAAAAATACAGAGTGGCTGAATGGATTAAAATATGACCCAACTGTATTCTGTCTATAAGAAAGTCATCTCACCTGTAAAGATAGATATAGACTGAAAGCAAAGGGATATCAAAAGATACTTCATGCAAATGGAAACCAAAACCAAGCAGGAATAGCTATAGTTTATCTTATAGCTATAAGATAAAACAGACTTTAAGTTCAAAACAGCAAAAGCAGACAAAGAAGGTCATTATGTAATGAAAAAGGGATCAATTCAGCAAGAGAATGTAACAATTCTAAATGTATGCACCCAACAATGGAGCACCTAGATATATAAAGCAAATATTATTATATCTAAAGGGAGAGACAAACTCCAATGCTATAATAGTGGGGACTTCAACACCCCACTCTCAGCATTAGACAGATCATCTATATAGAAATTAACAAAGAAACATTGGATTTAAGTTGGATATTAAACCAAACGAACCTAACAGACATTTATAGAACATTTTATCCAACAGCTACAAAGTGCACATTCCTCTCATCAGCACATGAAACATTCTCTAGGATGGACCATATGTTACAAAACAAAACAAGTCTCAACAAGTTTTTAAAAATTGAAATGATGTCAAGTATCTTCTCTAACTATAGTGAAATAAAACTAGAAATCAATAACAAGAGGAAATTTGGAAACTGTAAAAAATGTAGAACTTAAACAACAGACTCCTGAATGACCACTGGGTCAAGGAAGAAATTAAGGAGTAAATCAAACAATTTTTTAAACAAATAAAAATTGAAACACAGCATACCAAAACCTATGGGGATACAGCAAAAGCTGTGCTAAAAGGCAAGTTTATACTGACAAACAACTACCTCAAACAAAAGAAAGATTTTAAATAAACAATCTAATAATGCATCTCAAGAACTAAATGAAAATAAGGACAAATCAAACCCAAAACTGGCAGAAGAAATCACAAAGTTTAGAGCAGAACTAGACAAAATAGAGACTTTAAAAAATATACAAAGGATAAAAAAATGTTGATTTTTTGAAAATATAAACAAGACCAATAGGCCGAGTAACCAAGATAAAAAAGAGAAGACCCAAATAAACAAAATCAGAAAAACAAAAGATATTACAATTGTCACTAGAGAAATACAGAAGACCACAAGACAATCATGGATAACTATATACTAACAACTGAAAATTTTAGAGAAAATGAATAAATTCCTGGAGACATACAACCTACCAAGATTGAATCAGAAAGAAATAGAAACCAGAGCTGACCAATAATGAATAATGACACTGAATTATAATAAAAACTCTACCAATAAGAAAAGTCCAGGATCAGATGATTTCACTGCTGAATTCTACCGAATCTTCAAAGATGAACTAACACCTATTCTTCTCAAACAATTCCAAAAAAATTCAAGGAAAGTAAAGTTGCCCTAATTCATTCTAAAAGGCTGCCATTACTCTGATACCAAAACCAGACAAGGATGCAACAAAGAAGAAATCTATAGGCCAATATCCCTGATGAACATAGATGCAAAGTTCCTTAAAAAAATACTAACAAACCAAATCCAACAGCACATGTAAGATATAATGCACCATGATCATTATAGCAGTGGGATTTATAGCAGGGATGCAAGGATGGTTCAACATATGCAAATCAATAAATGTGACATATCACATTAACAAAATAAAGGAAAAGAACCATATGGTAATCTCAACAGACTCCTTAAAAGCATTTGATAAAATTTAACATCTCTTCCTGACAAAAAACTCTCAACAAACTAAGAATTGAAAGAACCTAGCTCGGCCAGGCACGGTAACTCACGCCTGTAGTTCCAGCACTTTGGGAGGCCGAGGTGGGCAAATCACTTGAGGTCATGAATTCAAGACCAGCCTGTGCAACATGGTGAAACCTCGTCTCTACTAAAAATACAAAATATTATCAAGGCATGGTGGCACGCACCTATAGTCCTAGCTACTCAGGAGGTTGAGGTGGGAGAATCACTTGAACCCAGGAGGCAGAGGTCACAGTTAGCCAAGATCATGCCATTGCGCTCAAGCCTGGACAACAGAGCAAGACTCCATAAAAAAAAAAATAACATAACTCAACATAATAAAGGCCATATATGACAAATCCACATCTAACATCACACTAAATGGAGAAAAGCTGAATGTCTTTTCTCTAAGGCCTATAACAAGACAACATTGCCCATGTTCAGCACTCTTATTTAACATAGTGCTGGGAAGTTCTAGCCAGAGAAATCACTTGAGAGAAAGAAATAAAAGGCATTCAAATTGGGAAAGAGAAAGGCAAATTGTCACTCTTTGCAGATGATATGATCTTATGTCTAGAAAACCTAAAGACTCCACCAAATTCTTAGATCTGATAAGTAAGTTAAATAACTTTGCAAGATATAAAATCAACATGCAAAAATCAGTAGTGTTTCAAAGAAAATACGTAAAGATAAATTTTACCAAAGAGGTGAAAAACTTCTACAAGGAAAACTGAAAAACTCTTATGAAAGAAATTGAAAAGGACACAAAAATTATGGGCTCTAATTAATTCTAATAGAAGACTTCTGAAAATACATAATATTACTGATATTAGAAAAATATATATATACACACACACAATCTGCATATTTTACATATAGTTTTTTTTGTCAAAAGTGTGTGAAAAAATTCATTGTTTTATGATATAAGATATTTGATATAATGCTAAATCTAGGTAAATTAATCCCAGAACTTATTTTCTGTGCAAGTATTAAAAGCATCCAGAAGAAAACTTATTATGATCTCTTGAGAATGATTATGGGATAATCGGTATCACCTGGGATTATGGTTACTTTGCATGTTGGCATATCCAATGAATTCTGGTTGATCAAAGTTTAGGGCAACTATGCTAAGGGAAACTGCTAAGAAAGGACCTTAGATTTTTCAGTCCATGCTTTGGCTTGAGGTCAATGAATAGGTAAAATGCGTACACTCAAAGTTACACCTTCTCAGAGAAAAGAAGCTACAAAAAAAAAAACAAAACAAAACTGGAGGGTCATTTTTTTTTGCTTGAGGTCTAAAATAGTCACTTGGGGTGACTGAGTCAAAATATGAGGGTAAAAGTTAATAATTCAACATCAGAAGTAAATTAAGCATTTCAGAATGAGGATTGAATACAGGAAATTATGAAGGTATCTCTGTTGCCCCAGAATTATAATAGTACAGATTTTGGGCCTTGGGATAATTCCCGGACATATGGGTCAAAATCAGGTAAAGCCGAAGGGATGGAAAACTGCAGGAAATAGAGCATTTGGCAAATAGCAAATCCTGCTGATGTAAGAAAGATGCAGACCTAAAGATTAGAATTGTAGAGCATGGCTCAGAGCTGGAACAGAGTTTGTGAGGGTGAAAATATAAATGGGCCCAGGGTAAAAGACCCTGTAGATCCAGACTGAGATACTAAGCCCTAGTCCAACCTCTGGGACTTATCTTATCCCAATGTTCCAATAGGATAAATTATTCTCTACCACCTGGAAGATTGCAAATCTAGGAACTAAGTAGGCCATTTCAACCAAGGAATTACATAGCTGCTTGAACTTAGGTAAAGGTAGCTCTTCTGAACAGAAGTATTACAGAAGAAGAAGAAGCATTACTTCATTGGCTTTAGCATCAATTCCTTCTTAACACAATTATTTTATACACAGATGGCAATCTTAAGCCAATACTCTTAAAATATTTCCAGATAATAATACCAGCAACTTGATACATTATTTAAATGTATTTCTTTACCCTTTAGTTTCAGATTGTGTTTCTTGTTGACAAATTTGTAAATCATAAACAACTAAAAGTTAATATTTTGTGAGAGGAAAGATCAAAGATGAGGGAAAAGACTGAGGACAACTGGGTACTGCCCTATGGCATGCCCTGGGGAATGCACTCTCATAGAATCAATTGTTAGACCATGACCTTCTCAGAAAGCACTTACATGAAGAACAGTCCCTTCCTTGCCTTAACCAAAGAATTAACTCTACAAAGAATTAACATGAACTCTACAAGAAATACATCTTCTTTTTAATCTTCCTCACCTCAGTGAATCTGTTATTTGTTTAAAAAAGTTACTGAGGTATAACTTACATATAACACAGCATGCAAGTCTTAAGTGTATAGTTTGATTGATTTACAACTATGTATATGCTAGTGTAACCACTACCAAAAGCAATATATAGATGATTTCCAACACCCAGGAAGGTCACTTGCACCCCTTTCAGTCTGAAGCCCTCAAGAGTAAAACCTATCTTGATATAACTAGGATTAGTTTTATCAGTTTTTAAACTTTGAATAAGTGAAATATCTATTTTTAATGTCTAACCTTTTTCACTACTCATTATTATACTTATGAGATTCAACCACGTTGCATGTGAAGAAGTTTGATTTGTTAATAACTGCAGAGTATTCCATGGTATACACACAGTATAATTAATTTAATCATTCTATTATTTATAAGAATTTTGATTATTTTCAGTTTGGAACTATTATAAATAAAACTATGAACATTTTCTCTGTACCTCTTTTAGTAAACACTGTTGCTATTCACTGTGTGTGTGTGTGTGTGTGTGTGTGTGTGTGTGTGTGTGTATGTGTTTGGATATATACCCCAGAGTGGGATTATTGGGCTGTATGGTATACACATGTCTTCCTTTGGTAGGTATTGTCAAATATTTTTCCAAATGAGTTTTATCAAATCATACTTCCATCAGCTTCATACCCTCACCTATTATTTGTATTCTCAGCTTTTTTCAATTTTAATCTATTATGTTTGTGTAATACTATTTCATTGCAGTTTTTAATTTATATTTGTTTAATAACAAGATATTGAGCTTATTTACATGTGCTTATCAGCCACTTTGATCCCATCTTTTCTGTAATCTCTGTTGAATGTTTTTTCCATGGTTGTAATTAGGTTGGCTCTTTTTCTTATTCGCTTGTATGAATTCTTTACATGTTCTTGATAGGGCAATTGTCAAATGTTTTACGAATACCTTCCCTTAGTCTGTGGCTTATTATTTGAACTATCTTAGTTGTAGCTTTTGTTAAACAAAAGTTTCTAATTCAAATAAATCTAGCTAATTTTTATTTTCTTATGTTAGTGCTTATGCATGTGTTGGCATGTGTGTGTTCTATTTAAGAAATTTTGGTTATCCAAAAGTAATGAGTCATAAAGGCATTTTCTTCTATAAGATAGATTTAACATTGAAAAAATATTGGAGAACAAAGCTGTAGGATTTACAATACCAAGTATTAAAACTCACTATAATGCTGAAGTCATTAAGACAGAGTACTAGTAACACAAATACAGATAAATGGACCAATGGCATATTATGTAATACAGAAACAAATTCACATACATAGTCATCTGATTTATGACAAAGTCTCAAATGCAATTGAGTGGGGAAAGGATGATCATTTTTATAAAAGAGATGAGGTCAATGGAATATCTAATAGAGAAAAGATAAGGATTCTGATAACTACCTTCCACTAAAAACAAAAATTGTTTTCCCTTGAGTTATAGATTTAAATGTGAGTACCATCTTATTTTTACAAATCTAAATGTGCAAACTATCATATTTGTAAGACATAAATACCAGCTATTTGATGATTATCTGATATTATTTGAAGTGTGCAGTCATATTTCTTCCAAATTCTCTTGTCTAATGATTTTCTCTCATTATAGTCAATTTGATCCATTGCATTATATGTAAAAGGTCTTTGTGAAAACAAAAGGAAGGTGGTTGGTGGTTGCTTTGGTATATATTACTAAAGGTAAGATTTCCATAAGCAGTTTTGGAGAGAATAATTCAGAGAGTACAAAGCATTAATGGGATTGAGATAGAAACTGGAAAGGGAGTGAGGGAGCAGGAAGGGCCCAAAGGGAAGTTGAGGAGGGCTGAGGTGGGGCACAAAAGTTGTGTAATTTACAAGTCCAAGACCTAGCATGAAGACCCTGGAGACTTGAAACAAGGGTGGAGACTGGCAGATGGAAAGACTGCAGAAAGAAGTTTGGACAGCTTAAAATCCTGCCCGCTGGGGCCCATCACTAGTTCTCAATTTCTCCTTCATGCTGTCTTGGTTCTGATAGAGGCTGCCTTACAGTCTGTAAAATAAATCTTTAATCGCCATTATCCATTAAATGTCTAGCAACTCCCGAAAACAAAATGTCAAGTTATAAAAGTGACAGAGGACCACTACCTGTTTGACTATGGCCCCTTATTACTGGCTAATTCTTTTGGCAGCATTTTCAATATTTTGTGAAATAAAAGATGCCTACGTTGTCATTTTCAGATCTATATAACCCTATGGTAATTGTCCCTACGTGAAAAAATGTTTCTTCTAAGCCCTCCCCAAGAAGTTCATGAGAATGAACTCAACATGTAATATTACTTTATATTTGGATAGTATATCAGCTTATAAACACCTTTATTAAAAGCATGGAGATAACTAACATTTACTTTTAGATAACAATAGCATTAGAATAAAACTTTGCATGTAATCTCATTTAACATTATAACAATGCTTTTGGGTAGTCACTTATGAATCTTATTTTCAAATAAAGAAACTGACAAAGATATTATATAACTTACCCAAGTCCACACAGCCTTTAAATTTGTGTCCTGATAAGAACCAAGCCTTTCTCTATGTAGTGTATTTGTGCTTTTAAATGACAGTCCACAGGGGAGATTTGTTCAATGAGGTAGTCAGTACAAGGTAAATGCCTATAACAGATCAAGGGATTTACGGTGGACACCAGGCATGAATACATGATAATCAGAACAAATCTAGAGTCTGTGAAGATTACAAATCATGATTATGGGGACATTTCTAGTTTGTAACCAAGGCAACATCATCAATGGAACTCACCAATTTTAAACTTTTACCCTGGGAACTAACTGCAAAGATTAGTTGCATGATTCAGCAGAGCCACAATCAGATAACAAAGGTCACTGTAAGGGAAAATGACTTGCTGGTCCAGAAACTTCTCAACTTTATTAAATTCATTCAGTAATTATTTATTGAGGTCTTAAGATGATTTATGCTCTCTTCTAGATGCTGAGGATACATAGAATCACCAAACATATAAACTACACAATCTTATGGAGTTTGGTAACTGTTCTATAATGTGTCACATACTTGGAGAGGCTCTGGGAATGAAAAGATAAGTAGTCCATTTTCCTAAGACCTTCCTGGTTAAAAGGAAAACTTCTGCAATTTGGGAGAATTCTAATAGAGATTTGTCCAGAAACAATGTGGAAGCAACTAACTACCTTGAGAGGTCTAGAAATACTGAACACTAAATTGTAAAACACTAAAAATTCCAGAAATCATTTGAGTCACATGATGAGAAATATCACAGGACACTTAGAACAAAGAAAGAAATATCACACAGACAGAAATCACATATGAGAATAGAAAATTTACTCTGAAACTAGGTGTAATCAGATGTTTTTGAATTGTCTTATTATTCTGAAAAGTTGGGAAATGTTTGTATA
The DNA here is from genome assembly GCF_000001405.40 of Homo sapiens. NCBI lineage: Eukaryota > Metazoa > Chordata > Mammalia > Primates > Hominidae > Homo > Homo sapiens. The sequence goes on from NC_000006.12 coordinate 49,867,335, forward strand.
TGTGAGTGCATGGTCGCTTATATTGAAGTCATAGCTTGCTGGCCTCTTTTTAAAATTATGAATTAAGTCTTTGTTCTTTGTAAGAAAGAATACATTATTATTTAATAAAAAATATTTTTCTTGTATCTTGCTTAAGAAAGGGCAATTGAATATCTAAAAGGAAAGAGTAAAAATAAGGTAAGAATTGTGTAGTCATAAGTTATTTTGTGTTAGTTCTGGGGTGAGGGTTAGGAAATAAAAATTAAAAGAAAGATCAGAGTCTCTTAAGATAGAACTTTCTGGTCTTGTTAAAGTATATAATGAATGTCCAGAAAACCATCTGCAGGAAAGGAGAACTAAACATCACTAAAAATTGCTCACCTATACCTAGAAGAATTTCTCTTTTGGTTGAGGGAGATGGTGTTAATCTAAAAACATAGAAAAGCTTATCTGTAAACTCTTTCATAGATAAGATGAATTATCTTTAGCTTAACTTTAATTGGCTTTAAAGAATTTTACATGATCTTGAAATTAACACTTCCAAATTATTGAGCAACTTTCTCCAACAAACTACATTGTAAAAAGAAAGCTGCAAAAGAATGCTATTACTTCACCAAACCAGCATGGTTTATATATTAGAAATGTATAATTGTCATTTATTTCTTGCTAAACTGCTGTTTATAAAGGAGAGTGTTGATTCAACATCAAGTCAAGTGTTTATGGAAACTTAATTGCTCTGGTTTTATCTGTTGGTCCTGGCAATTCCTGGCATTGCTCTACCCAACACAATGCTGTCTGTATTTATAGCACTGATGTCTTCATATAGAGTTGCTATCCAGCTTCATATATGGTTTTAAAAGAATTTGGGAAGTGTTGGAAAGCAAGGAATAACTTGATTTGCATGTGAGTCCCAAACATGGGTGCCAGTTGGCTGTTTCTGTTCATAAATTTCCTATTTTCATAGATTGTTCTCTTTCTGTTTAAGCTTTTTAGCATAGTAGGAAACTATCTACAATAACTTTTTTCCCTAAAATAATAATCTGACACATTTATCTAGCATATCATAACATGATAGAATATTTCTAACTGGATTATCCCAGAAAAATCTTGAGAGATAGATAAAGGCTAATGTGTTTACAATCACATCATGTTTGTCTGAATATATCCATTTTTAAAAGAAACTTTAAATCAATCATTTACTCAGAGATTGGCTAACAAAAATTTTAGAAAGCCCAGATATATAATACATGTTGAAGGAAGCATTCATGTGTTAAATGTGATTTTAAAATCATATTTGTAAAATAATTTTGCATATATTCTGGCTGTGGCTTTATTCTAATTATCCACTGGACACAGACATCCTCTCCTTTCCCTTCACTTTCTCCATGACTGAACTCTTACCTACAACAATCCCATTTGTGTCTCATTGCTTCTTCATACCACTCAGTAAAATTGTGCTTATGCTTCAAAGTCCTGTATGTTGCAAGGGCTCAATGACTCCAGACTTGCTCAGAAACTCAGGCCAAAAAGTACTCTAGACTTTAACAAATTCAAACTTATGTTGCACATAAAATAAAGCCAAAGTCAGTTTCTGAATTTGAATTTTAAGAACCCTGGGAGATTAATGGCCCTTTGAAATTTCCCCCCTCTTCTTCTACAATTTATAGCTTTCATAATCAGAATGAAAGTCAATATACATTTATCCTTCTATTCAACTTTGTTTTAGTTGTCTACTTCTCATAATAAATAATCCCAAGGCTCAATGATTTAAAGCAATAAATGTGGTCTCTTGGTTTCTGGGAATCAGTAATTCAAGGATGGCTTGACTGAGCACATTTGGTTTATGGTGCCTCATTGATTGCAATCAGTTGTCAGTTGAGGCTGCAGACATTTATATCTCTGATGGCTTTCCTGCTTCCAAATTGATTTACTTATATGACTTGCAAGTTGGTGCTGTTTGTTGGTGCGAAGCCCTAGTTGCTCTCCAGATTGGCCTTTCCACAGGGCTTCTGATTATCCTTATAACTTGACAGTCACCTACCCCTGAGCAAATGATGCAAGAACACAGGAGAGGCTGCAATGCCTTTTATGACATAGAGTGAGAAGTCACACACTTTAATATTCTATTGTTCACAGAGTCTAGCTCTAATTCGATTAACAAGAAGACCACACAAGAGCATAACTACCAGGAGGCAAGGATTATTGAAGCTATCCTGGAAGTTGCCATCATACACTCCTACCCCTAACCTCTTTTTAACTTTAAATTCAGTTTTTTCTACAGCTCACTTGAGGAAAGTCTTGTGATTCCTCTCAAGTTAACAGAAAGATGTCAGTATAAAGCTGGAAGTATGAAAACAGTATCCTTTCTTTCCCAGGAGTAAAAGTGTTAAAAAATCATGCCAAAAATTTAAATGGAAAAGGAAGGTACTATGGTCTAAATGTTGGTGTCCCCTCAAAGTTTATGTGTTGGAACCTAATACCTAATGTGATTGTGTTAAGAGTTAGGGCCTTTTGGGAAAGACTAAGTCAAAAGGGCTCCATTCCCTTCAATCTCGTTTATAAGGGGACTAATCCCAGGGGTACTAAACCCAAACAAGGTTGAAGGGAGTGCCTGTGCCGTTTTTGCCATGTGAGGATGCAGCTAGAAGGTGCCATCTATAAGGAACAGGTCCCTTCTCAGACTTTAAATCTAACAGCTCTTTGATCTTGGACTTCCCAGCCTACAGAACTGTGAGAAATAAATTTTTGTTTTTTGTACATTACCCAGTCTAAGGTATTTTATTATCACAGGCCAAACAGACTAAGAAAGAAAGATAGACAAATAAATTGCACTGTCACAAAAACAAACTTCCTAACCAATACCAAGTCTGGCAATCACATGGATCTTTCTCAAAAATGACTGTAGAGATTTAGATACAGTTAATTTGGAATTTGTGTCAGCTAGGATGCCAACACAAAAAGATGACATACTCAAACTGGGTAATTGAGGGAGAGTTTAATGATGGAAATTTCCAAAGTTGAGGGTAGGGTGTAATAATACCAGTATGGACAATAGAGTAACCAGTAGTAGTAAATTTGTCACTCCTAACCTGAATGGGTGAGAGAAAGCAGGAGTTATTGTAGGTTGGAAAGTGAGGGAGCTGTGTGGAAAGGGCTGCCTTGCAAGAAGCTGTGGCCTCAGGTATTGAAACACAGCTAGCCCATAGAACTTCTTCAGGTTGGGAAGTAAGTAAATACATACCTTGGACTTTGGCCAAAACTGACTCGAAGTCAAGGTCAAGAGAGCCTGTTAATACAGACAATTATGCAAATTTATATGATTTAATTTCTAACCTTCAGTTTCTTGTGAGACTCACCCAAATTTACTTGAGTTGTTTAACTCTGTATATATAACAACATCCTTGAGTTATGAAGGATATTGTTTTCTGCTCCAAATTAATCCCCAAATTTTGCTTAAGGTTGTTTGTGTAGACTTCAGTTAGGGTTTCTAATAACAAAATAGGCCAGGCGTGGTGGCTCATGCCTGTAATCCCAGCACTTTTGGAGGCCGAGGTGGGCGGATGACCTGAGGTCAGCTGTTTGAGACCAGCCTGGCCAATCAATGTGGTGAAACCCCATGCCTACTAAAAATACAAAAATTAGCTGGATGTGGTTGTGCGTGCCTGTAATCCCAGCTACTCAGGAGGCTGAGGCATGAGAATCGCTTGAACACAGGAGGCAGAGGTTGCAGTGAGCTGAGAGATCGCGCCATTGCACTCTAGCCTGGGGGATAAGAGGGAAACTCCATCTCAAAACAAAAACAAAAACAAAACAAACAAAAAAAAAACAAAGAAAGAAAGAAAAAAATAAAAAAGTGTGTCTGTCTTCCTTCTAACATGCACTCATTATTCAAAAACATTGATTTAAGTGCCATCTCCATGCCAGGTGAGATATAAGATGATGAACACATAGTTTTGAACAAAATAATTGCCCTACTGGAACAGAGGTTACATTGTAATGATCACATGGCTTCAGGAAATAGACATAGTAATGAGGACAAAGTGATGGATGCTTCTAAAATGGTCACTCTACAGGGAAGTAATCCATGAATCTACTGAACATAAACTCAGCGAAAGTCAAAGCCAATTTTTTCTAAGTCCAACCCACCATACATTTGAAAAATATGTAGAAATACATTAGAAATCTGTAAACAGGTACACATTAAAAAGGGATAAGCCAAATGCTATCCCTCCCCCCTCCCCCCGCCCCACAACAGGCCCCAGTGTGTGATGTTCCCCTTCCTGTGTCCATGTGTTCTCATTGTTCAATTCCCACCTATGAGTGAGAACACGTGGTGTTTGGTTTTTTGTCCTTGTGATAGTTTGCTGAGAATGATGGTTTCCAGCTTCATCCATGTCCCTACAAAGGACATGAACTTATCATTTTTTATAGCTGCATAGTATTCCATGGTGTATATGTGCCACATTTTCTTAATCTGGTCTATCGTTGTTGGACATTTGGGTTGCTTCCAAGTCTTTGCTATTGTGAATAGTGCCACAATAAACATATGTGTGCACGTGTCTTTATAGCAGCATGATTTATAATCCTTTGGGTATATACCTAGTAATGGGATGGCTGGGTCAAATGGTATTTCTAGTTCTAGATCCCTGAGGAATCGCCACACTGACTTCCACAATGGTTGAACTAGTTTACAGTCCCACCAACAGTGTAAAAGTGTTCTTATTTCTCCACATCCTCTCCAGCACCTGTTGTTTCCTGACTTTTTAATGATCACCATTCTAACTGGTGTGAGATGATATCTCATTGTGGTTTTGATTTGGATTTCTCTGATGGCCACTGATGATGAGCATTTTTTCATGTGTCTTTGGGCTGCATAAATGTCTTCTTTTGAGAAGTGTCTGTTCATATCCTTTGCCCACTTTTTGATGGGGTTGTTTGTTTTTTTCTTGTAAATTTGTTTGAGTTCATTGTAGATTCTGGATATTAGCCCTTTGTCAGATGAGTAGGTTGCGAAAATTTTCTCCCATTTTGTAGGTTGCCTGTTCATTCTGATGGTAGTTTCTTTTGCTGTGCAGAAGCTCTTTAGTTTAATTAGATCCCATTTGTCAATTTTGGCTTTTGTTGCCATTGCTTTTGGTGTTTTAGACATGAAGTCCTTGCCCATGCCTATGTCCTGAGTGGTGTTGCCTAGGTTTTCTTCTAGGGTTTTTATGGTTTTAGGTCTAACATTTGAGTCTTTAATCCATCCTGAATTAATTTTTGTATAAGGTGTAAGGAAGGGATCCAGTTTCAGCTTTCTACATATGGCTAGCCAGTTTTCCCAGCACCATTTATTAAATAGGGAATCGTTTCCCCATTTCTTGTTTTTGTCAGGTTTGTCAAAGATCAGATAGTTGTAGATATGCGGCATTATTTCTGAGGGCTGTGTTCTGTTCCATTGGTCTATATCTCTTTTTTGGTACAAGTATCATGCTGTTTTGGTTAAAGTAGCCTTGCAGTATAGTTTGAAGTCAGGTAGCATGATGCCTCCAGCTTTGTTCTTTTGGCTTAGGATTGGCTTGGCAATGCAGGCTCTTTTTTGGTTCCATATGAACTTTAATGTAGTTTTTTCCAATTCTGTGAAGAAAGTCATTGGTAGCTTGATGGGGATGGCATTGAATCTATAAATTACCTTGGGGAGTATGGCCATTTTCATGATATTGATTCTTCCTACCCATGAGCATGGAATGATAGCATTTGGAGATATACCTAATGTTAAATGACGAGTTACTTGGTGCAGCACACCAACATGGCACATGTGTACATATGTTAACTAACCTGCACACTGTGCACATGTACCCTAAAACTTAAGTATAAAAAATAAAAATAAAAAAATAAAATAAAATAAAAAGGGATAAGCCAGAAAAACCTAATTGTTCAAGGATATAACACAACTTTCCTTATTCCTATAAAGAAAATTTTTCCAAAATATGTGTCTGGAAGGAGTTAGGCAAAGAAACTCGTGAGTAAAATTGCAGATCTCAGGAAATGTTGCTTAATTTTTAAAACTAAATGCCATTTAATTTGATTAATGATTAAATATTATGAATCAATATTTAACTTAGTCTTCATAAATTTTTAGTTTACACTTTGGCAGCCAGGTCCTAGCATAAAGCAACCACCCTAAAATTTCCTTATGTGTCCTCATGTTAGGCTATTTTTCCTACCTAGAGAATATAATACTTGAAATGGTTTCTCACTATGCACACTTGAACTTAATTTTGATAATTAAAAATGAAGTTTTCATTATTCATCAACAAAATGGATCAAAAGGAACAGAGTTATTTATAGAACTGGTTATATCAAATGTGAAGGATTATTATTTCTTTCAAGATTATGTATTGCTTATATTATTGGTGGTAAAATTTCTACCTTTAGTGAAATTATTAGCAATAGTAGATAAAATATTTAAAGTTTTTTAAAGCTCAGTACCTATACTTAACAAAAATATAAACTTGACAACCCACTTGACCTCCAGATTTTATTTCTCCAGTTTCATTTCAGTGAATCAGAACCATAAAGCTGAGCTACTAATATATTTTAAGGAGTGTTAAACTGATAGACACAAGTAGATATCTGTGTATGACTGAAAATTCCTAATTAGTTGATTGGTTTAAATACATTCCTTAACCCACAGTTACTTTGATTTTCTTATTTTTAAATATAGAAAATAGGATATATGCTCTCCCAGTATTCTTCCTGAATTAATATACCATGTTGAATTTTTGTTTTCTCTGTCTTTCCAAAGTTAGAAAAAAAATAAACAAATGAGGAGGGAGACATTTTCAGTCAATAATAGAACCTTAGCAAGCCAGAAACCTAATGTAGTTATTACTATCAATGATAGATCTTCCTTCAGTAGCTATTGAATAGTAAATATGGCAATTCTGAATAATATTAGAACTAAAACAGTTATATAGTTTCTTAAGGCAAGTACTGATGCCTAATGCTATAAAACATTTAGAAAAATAGACCCAATTGATTTCAGATAACTAAAAACACTCAGAAAAATCATGATTTTCTTCCCTTCATGTTCTTCCAGAGAAGTTCAAATCATAACTGATAATGTGCAAAGAGTAATGACATTTGATTTTGAATGTAAATGTTAGAAGTAACTTTCCTCCTGGGGTAGGGAAAACCACCATTTTTAAGGGTTGGTTGACTCAGTCCTTCCAGCCTGCCTTCAGGATATTATTTTATGAGGCCAGCATCATCCTGATACCAAAAATTTGGTAGAGATACAGCAACGACAACAAAAACTTCAGGTCAATATCCTTGATGAACATTGATTCAGAAATCCTCAATAAAATACTGGCAAACCAAATCCAGCAGTGCATCAAAAAACTTATCCACCACGATCAAGCTGCCTTCGTCTCCAAGATGCAAGTTTGGTCCAACATATGCAAATCAATAAATGTGACTCATCACATAAGCAGAATTAAAGACAAAAATCACATGACTATGTCAATAGAATGCAGAAAAGGCCTTTGTTAAAGAAAACCACATCCCATTCATGTTAAAAACTCTCAATAAACTAGGTATTGAAGGAAAATACCTCAAAATAATAAGAGCCATATATGACGAACCCACAGCAAACATAATAACAAATGGGCAAAAGCTGGAAACATTTTCCTTGAAAACTGACACAAGACGAGGATGCCCTTTCACAATACTCCTATTCAACATATTATTGGAAATTATGGCCTGGGCAATCAGGCAAGAGAAGAAAATAAAGTGTATTTAAATAGGAATAGAGGAAGTCAAACTCTTTGTTTGCAGATGACACGATCCTATATATAGAAAACTCCATTGTCTCATCCCAGAAGATTCCTAAACTAATAAACAACTTCAACTTCAGCAAAGTCTCAGAATACAAAGTCAATGTGCAAAAGTCAATAATATTCCTATATACCAACAAGAGGCAAGCAGAGGGCCAAATCATGAATGAACTCCCATTCACAATTGCTTCCTAGGAATATAGCTAACAAAGGAAGTGAAGGACTTCATCAAGGAGAACTACAAACTACTGCTCAAACAAATCAAAAAGGACACAAACAAATAGAAAAATATTCCATGCTCATGGATAGGAAGAATCGATATTGTGAAAATGGATATACTCCCCAAAGTAATTTATAGAGTCAATGCTATTCCCATTAAACTATCATTGGCATTCTTCACAGAATTAGAACATTTTATTTTAAAATGTATGTAGAACCAAAGAAGACCCCAAATAGCCAAGAAAATTCTCAGCATAAAGAACAAAGCTGGAGGCATCACTCTACCCAACTTCAAACTATACTACAAGGCTACAGTAATCAAAACAGCATGGTACTGGTACAAGAACAGATACATAGACCAGTGGAACAGAATAGAGAACTCAGAAATAAGACCACATACCTACAACCATCTGATCTTTGACAAACCTGACAAAAACAAGCGATGGGTAAGTATTTCTATTGAATAAATGGTGCTGGGAGAACTGGCTAGCCATATGCAGGAAATTGAAACTGGATCCTTTCCTTACACCTTATACAAAAATTAACTCAAGATGGATTAAAGACTTAAACGTCAAACCCCAAACTACAAAAACCCTAAAAAAAAATCTAGGCAACACCATTCTAGCCATAGGCATGGGCAAAGATGTCATGACGAAAATGCCAAAAGCAATTTCAATAAAGCAAAAATAGACAAATGGGATCTAATTAAACTAAAGAGCTTCTGCACAGCAAAAGAAACTATCATCAGAGTGAATAGTCTACAGAATGGGAGAAAATTTTTTCGGTCTATTCATCTGACAAAGGTCTAATATCAAGAGAGTACAAGGAACTTAAACAAATTTGCAAGAAAAAAACACCACCAATAAAGGTGGGCAAAGAACATGAACAGATACTTCTCAAAAGAAGACATTCGTGCAGGCAACAACATATGAAAAGAAGCTGAACATCACTGATCATTAGAGAAATGCAAATCAAAACCACAATGAAATACCATCTCACTCCAGTCAGAATGGCTACTATTAAAAGTCAAAAAACAACAATTGCTGATAAGGTTGCAGAGAAAAAGGAATGCTTTTACACTGTTGGTGGGAGTGTAAATTAGTTCAACAATGTGGAAGACAGTGTGAAAATTCCTCAAAGATCTAGAGGCAGAAATACCCTTTGACCCAGCAATTTCATTACTGGGTATACACTCAAACAAATATAAATATTATATTATAAAGATACATGCACATGTGTGTTCACAGCAGCACTATTCTTAACAGCAAAGACGTAAAATCAACTTAAATGCCCATCAATTATAGGCTGGGTAAAGAAAATGCGATACATATACACCATGGAACACTATGTAGCCATAAAGAAGAACACGATTATGTCCTTTGCAGGGACATAGAAGGACTTGGAAACCATTATCCCTAACACACTAACACAGGAACAGAAAACCAAACACTACATATTCTCACTTGTAAGTGGTTGCTGAATGATGAGAATGCATGGACACATGAGGGGGAACAACACACACTAGGGTCTGTCAGAAGGGAAGATAGGGGGAGGGAGAGCATCAGGAAGAATAGCCAATGGATGCTGGGCTTAAAACCTAGGTTATGGAATGATCTGTGCAGCAAACCACCATGGCACACATTCACCTATGTAACTAACCTGCACATGTACCATTGAAGTTAAAATAAAAGTTGAAGAATAAAAGAATTATCTCACCAAGCTCTGTCCTGGTAGCTGCAAAGAAACTGGACTATGAATGCGTAAAGCTCACACACACACACAGACACACACGAAATAACTTTCCAATTTTTTTTTGAACTTTAAGAAAATTCGAGCCCTTTAAAGCTTAGATCTTGCCTTTAGGCTTTTGCAGATTTATTTAAGATAAAATCAATATAGGCCTACTCTCATAGTATGAACCTGATAGCCTACTACAAGCGATATGTTCAGTGATTCTTTCTGGTCCAGAAATTCCAAGCAGATCAGAAGGAGAGAGAGCAAATGGGTAGGAGTGAATCATGACATTGGATTTATATAGTCCCACAAATTACTCTCTCACAAAGTTCTCTTTCTATTAGAATGGAATGTTTATTGACAATATAGATGAAAAGTCGTGGCCTTATATAAATTTGGGAGCCAATTTTTTAATTCAGACCACGAGCAGAAAGACAATATGTTCCATGTGATATTACTTTAAAATCACTTCCATCAACATGACCTGGAGAAAAACCTCAACAGTCAAACTAATAGTCAAAAATCTCTGATCTAGTAATCACAGTGCACAAATAAATAAAATGATGTATACAACTATCTACCAGAGTATGCTGTATATTATCCGAATATTTTTCAAAAGCAAGCAAAAACAAGGATGCTACCTTAGTCTCTCACAAAGGCATATGTTTAATTGTACCTGTTCCAGGTTCTGTTTCTTTACCTCTCACCTTGTCTGCTAAGGGGACGTTTTTCTCCACTAATATAAGAAGAGGAAGAATTTTCTTAATCCATTTACAATTCTTCCTTAATGCAGTTAAGAAAATGACAATATTCCTGTGTAATAGAAGATATTATCATTTCTGTCTTATATGCGAATGGAGTATGGTTCTGAGAAGCAATTTAAAATCTCGGAACTATAGAAATCCAGGCCCCATAGCTTCTGAGTCTAGATTTTTAAATAATACTGTCTTCTGCTTTACATCATTTTAAAACAGATGAGGTAAATGAAACAAAATTAAAAATGCCCTTTCTCTCTTGCATAGTTTTAGTGAGGGTGATATTTCTACTAATTCATAAATTGGTCACCAAGAACAAACAATGGGGTCAATCTTCAGCAAACTAGGAAGACATTTTGCACAGAGAAATAATTTTGTGGTGAAAACTCAGATGAAATAATGTGAACACGATTCAGAGTTCAATGTGTTTGATGTGGCTATATTAATGAAACATAGGTTGAGTATCCCTTATCCAAAATGCTTGGGACCAGACACGTTTGGGATTACAAATTTTTTATTTTAAAATATTTGCATATACATAATGAGATATCCTGGGGATGGGACCCAAGTCTAAACATAAACTTATTCACATTTCATATATACTTTAGCCTGAAGATAATTTTATACAATATTTTAAAATAATTTTGTGCATGAACCAAGGTTTGTGTACATTGAACCATCAGAAAGCAAAGGTGTTACTATCTCAGCCACCTACTTGGACAATCTGTGGTTGCTTGGCAATGCCATTATTTCTGACTCTAAATATATATGCAATCTATAACCAACAATTTTCTTACAGTTATTCACACATAAATACTTAACAGAAAACAATTATGATATACCATTAATATAGTGAAAAATCATGTGTTTAGGCTAACTAAGCAATAGAGTAGCATCACCAGAATACCTGTATCTGCTGTTAAACAGCAACAACAAACAACAGCAAGTTTTTAGTCTCCACCTATAATGTGTTTTGATTAAAAGCTTACTACACACTGTATTTTTTTAACTTCCTCTGTGTTTTCTCCCTCCCATGTTTTTTATCCTTTTCTTTACTTTTATTTTTATTTTTTTGGTACAGAGTGAGTGTATATATTTATGGGGTACATGAGATATTTTGATACAGGCATACAGTGCATAATAATCACATCAGGGCAAATGAAGTATCCATTACCCCAATTATTTATCCTTTCTTTGTGTTAAAAATCTAATTCTATTATTTTAGTAATTTTTAAATGTGTGATAAAATATTGTTGACTATAGTCACCTGTTGTGCTATCAAATACTAGATCTTATTTATTCTATCTAAGTAAATTTTCTCTATCCCTTAACTACCCCCACTTCCCAACCTGCCCCACCCAACAACCTTTTCCAGCCTTTGGTAACCATCATTCTACTCTCTATCTCCATGAGTTCATTGATTCTAATTTTTAGATGCCACAAATGAATGAGAATATGCAAAGTTTGTCTTTCTGTGCCTGGCTTATTTCACTTAACATAATGTCCTCCAGTTCCATCCATGTTGTTGCAAATGACAGTATCTCATTCTTTTTTATGACTGCATAGGACTCCATTGTATATATATATGGAGTATATATCACAGTTTCTTTATTTATTTGTCTATTGATAGGCACTTAGGTTGCTTCCAAATCATGGCTACTGTGAATAGTGCTGCAATAAACATGAGAGTGGAGGTATTTCTTTGATATACTGATTTCCTTTCTTTTGGCTATATACCTAGCAATGGAATTGCTAGGATCATATAATAGTTCTATTTTTAGTTTTTTGAGAAACCTCCAAACTGTTCTTCATAGTGGTTGTACTAATTTGCATTCCCACTAACAGTGTACGAGGGTTCCCTTTTCTTCACATCCTTGCCAGCATTTATTATTGCCTGTCTTCTGCATAAAAGTCATTTTAACTGGGCTAAGATAATATGTCATTGTAGTTTTGATTTGCATTTCTCTGGTCAATGGTGTTGAGCACCTTTTGGTATACTTACTTGCCATTTGTTTGTCTTCTATTGAGGAATGTGTATTCAGATTTTTGCCTATTTTTAAATCAGATTATTAGAATTTTTTCTTTAGAGTTGTTTCACCTACTTACATATTCTGGTTATTAAACCTCTGTCAGATAGTTTGTAAATCTTTTCTCCCATTCCTTGGTTTATATTTTCACTTCATTGATTGTTTCCTTTATGGTGCAGAAGCTTTTAACTTGATGTGATCGTAGTCATCAATTTTTGCTTTGGTTTCCTGTGCTTGTGGGATACTATTCAAAAAATCTTTGCCCAGTCCAATGTCCTGGAGAATTTCCTCAATGTTTTCTGGCAGCAGTTTCATAGTTTGAGATCTTTGATTTAAGTCTTCAATCCATTTTGATTTGATTTTTGTATACAGCAAGAGATAGGGTCTAGTTTCATTCTTCTGAATATAGATATCTAGTTTTCCCAGCATCATTTATTGAAGAGAATGTCCTTTCCCCAATGTATGTTATTGACACCTTTGTTGAAAATGAGTTCACTGTAGATGTATCAATTTGTTTCTAGGTTCTCCATCCTGTTCCATTGGTCTATGGGTCTGTTTTTATGCCAGTACCAAGCATTTTCAGTTACTATAGCTCTGTAGTATAATTTGAAGTCAGGTAATGTGATTCCTCCAGTTTCATTCTTTTTACTCAGAATAGTTTTTGCTATTCTAGGTATTTTGTGGTTTCATATAAATTTTAGGATTTTTTTTTCTGGTTCTGTGAAGAAGGTCATTGGTATTTTGATGGGGATTGCATTAAATCTGTAGATTGCTTTGGGTAGTAAGGATGTTTTAATACTATTAATTCTTCCAATCCATGAATCATGGAATATTTTTCCATTTTTGTTTGTTTGTTTGTTTGTTTGTTTTTGTTTTTGTTTTTTGGTGTTCTCTTCAATTTCCTTCCTTAGTGTTTTATGGTTTTCATTATAAAAATCTTTCACTTTGTTTGGTTAAGTTAAATTCTAGATATTCAATTTTATGTGTGGCTATTGTAAATGGGATTACTTTTTAAATTTCTTTTTTCACATTGTTCACTGTTGGCATATAGAAATGCTACTAATTTTGTATATTGATTTTGTATCCTGTAACTTTACTGATTTTTTTTTATCAGTTCTAATAGTTTTGTGTGTGTGTGTGTGTGTGTGTGTGTGTGTGTGTGTGTAGTCTTTAGGTTTTTCCATATATAAGATCATATTATCTACAAACAAGGATAATTTGACTCTTCCTTTCCAATTTGGATATCTTGTATTTCTTTCTCTTGCCTGATTTCTCTATCTAGAACTGCCAGCATTATGTTAAATAGCAGTCATAAAAGTTGGCATCCTTGTCATTATCCAGATCTTAGAGGAAAGGCTTTCAGTTTTTTCCCATTCAGTATGATATTAGCTGTGTGTGTGTTATATATGGCTTTTATTGTACTGAGGTATGTTTCTTCTATTCCTAGTTTTTTGAGGGCTTTTATTATGGAGAGATGTTGAATTTTATTGAATTTTCTTCAGCATCGATTGAAATGATCATATAGTTTTGTCTTTCATTCTGTTACTACAATGTATCACATTGATTTGCTTAGGTTGAGCCATCCTTACATGCTGCAATAAATCCCACTTGGTCATGATGAATAGTATTTTTAATATTTTGTTGGATTCACTTTGCTAATACTTTGTTGAGGATTTTTGCATTAATGTTTATCAAGGGTATTGGCCTGTGGTTTTCTTTTTTTGATGTGTCATTTTCTGGTTTTGATACCAGGTTAATTCTGGCCTTGAGGAATGAGTTTGGAAGTATTCATTCTTCCTCTATTTTTTGTAATAGTTTGAATAGCATTAGTTCTTTAAATGTTTGGTAAAATTCAGCAGTGGCCATTGGGTCCTGGGCTTTTCTTTGCTATGAGACTATTTCAGTTTCAATCTCATTACTTGTTACTGGTCAGGTTTTAAATTTTTTTATGGTCCAATCCTGTAGGTTGTATGTCTCTAGGAATTTATTCATTTCTTCTAGGTTTTCCAATTTATTGGCATATAGTTGCTCAGAGTAACCACCAATGATCCTTTGAATTTCTGTGGTATTGGCTGTAATATCTTTTTCATCTCTGAGTTCATTTATTTGAGTATTCTCTTTTTTATAGTCAGGCTAAAGGTTTGCCAATTTTGTTTACCTTTTCTAAAAACAAACTTTTGATTTCATTCATCCTTTATATTGTTTTCTTGGTTTTAATTTCATTTATTTCTTCTCTGATCATATTTCTTTTCTTCTACTAATTTTGGGTTTGGTTTGCTTTTTCTTTTCTAATTCTTTAAGATGCATTATTAGGATGCTTGTTTGAAGTTTTTCTACTTTTGTGATGTAGGCACTTATGGCTATAAATTTTCCTTTTAGTACTGTTTTCATTGTATCCCATTCATTTGGGTATATTGTGTTTTCACTTTCTTTTGTTTCTAAAAATTTCTAAATTTTTTTCTTAATTTCTTCATTGACCCACTGGCCATTCAAGAGCATATTGCTTAATTTCTATGTGTTTGTGAAGTTTCCAAAATTCCTTTGGTTATTGATTTCTTTATTTTTTAACTTTTACTTTAAGTCCGGGGCACATGTGCAATTTTGTTATATTGGTAAGCTTGTGTTACAGGGGTTTGTTGAACTGATTATTTCATCACTCAGGTACTAAGTCCAGTACCCAATAGTCATTTTTACTGATCATCTTCCTTCTCGCAACTTCCACCATCCAGTTGGCCTCGGTATCTCTTGTTCCCCTCTATGTGTCCGTACATTCTCATCATTTAGCTCCTACTTATAAGTGAGAACATGCAATATTTGTTTTTTGTTCCTGTGTTAGTTCGCTAAGGACAGTGGCCCCATCCATGTCCTTGTAAAGAACATGATTTTTTTTTATGGCTGCATGGTATTCCATGGTGTATATGTACCACATTTTCTTTCTAGTTTCATTTCTTTGTGGTCAGATTAGATACTTGATATTATTTCAGGTTTTGTTAAATTTTTGGCTTGTTTTGTGAGTTAATGTATAGTTTATGCTTGAGAATGACCCATTTACTGAGCGGAAGAATGCATATTCTGTAGCCATATGATGAAATGTTCTCTTAACATCTATTAAGTCCATTTGGTCTATAGTGCAGATTAAGGTCAATGTTTCTTTGTTGATTTTCTGTTTGGATGATATGTTCTATGCTGAAAGTAGAGTGTTGAAGTCTCCAGCTATTATTATATTTGTGCCTATCCTCTCTTTATTTCTAATAATATTTGCTTTATATATCTGTGTCCTCCAGTGTTGAATGCATATATATTTACAATTGTATCCTCTTACTCTATTTACCCTTTGTCATTATATAGGAACTTCTTGTCTCTCTTTACAGTTTTTGTGTTGAAATCTATTTTATTTGATATAAGTATACCTACTCCAGCTCTTTTTGGGTTTCCATTTCCATTACATATACTTTTCCACCCCTTCATTTTTAGTCTGTGTGTCTTTATGGGTGAGGTATATTTCTTGTAGGCAACAAATCATTGGGTCTTTTTTCTTTTTATTTTTTGTCTATTCAGCCACTATACATCTTTTGATTGGAGAGTTTAATTTATTTATACTAATGTTACTACTGATAAGTAAGAACTTACTCCTGCCATATTGTTATTTGTTTTCTGATTGTTTTGTTGTCTTCTCTTTCCTCTTTCCCTCCCTCCGGTCTTCCTTTTGTTGAAGGTGACTTTTGTTGGTGGTACGTTTTACTTTTTTGCTTTTTCTTTGTACCTGTTATAGATTGTTTAATTTGAGGTTACTGTAAGGCTTGCAAATAATACCTAACAATCTATTATTGTAAACTGATTACAACTTAGCACTGATTGCAGAAATAAACACACAAAGAGAAAACTAATAAAAACTGTACACTTTAACTTCATTCCCCCATTTTTAGCTTCTTATTGTTTCTAAGTATATCTTATTATATAAGATATAATAAGATGTCTATGTCTTGAAAAGTTGTTATAGTTTTATTTTTGATAAGTTCATCTTTTAGTCTTTCTACCCAAGTTACGAGTAGTTTACATACCACAATTAGTGTTATAATATTCTGTATTTTTCTGTGTGCTAACTATTACAAATGAGGTTTGTACCTTCAGATAATTTATATTTACCATTAACCTCCTTTTATTCCAGACTGAAGAACTCCCCTTAGCATTTCTTTTTTTTCTTTTT
This sequence comes from Homo sapiens, assembly GCF_000001405.40. Classification (NCBI taxonomy): domain Eukaryota; kingdom Metazoa; phylum Chordata; class Mammalia; order Primates; family Hominidae; genus Homo; species Homo sapiens. The sequence continues at coordinate 49,884,073 of NC_000006.12, forward strand.
TCTTTTTTTTTTTTTTGAGACAGAGTCTCGCTCTGTCGCCCAGACTTGAGTGCAGTGACATGATCTTGGCTCACTGCAAGCTCTGCCTCCCAGGTTCACACCATTCTCCTGCCTCAGCCTCCCGAGTAGCTGGGACTACAGGTGCCCACCACCATGCCCAGCTAATTTTTTTGTATTTTTAGTAGAGACAGGGTTTCACCATGTTAGCCAGGATGGTCTCAATCTCCTGACCTCGTGATCTGCCCACCTTGGCCTCTGAAAGTCCCCTTAGCATTTCTTTTATGACAAGTCTCGTGTTGATGAAATACTTCACCTTTTGTTTGTCTGAAAAGTCTTTATTTCTTCTTCATGTTTAAAGGATGTTTTCCCTTTATATGCTATTCTAGGATAAGAGTTGTTTTTCTTCAGTACTTTAAACATATCATGCAATTTTCTCCTGGCCTGTAAGGAGAGGAGAAGTCTCCTCTGAGGTTTCCACTGAGAAGGCTAATGCCACATGTATTGAAGTTCCTTTGTATATTATTTGTTTGTTTTCCCTTGCTGCTTTTAGGATTCTTTCTTTATCTTCGACCTTTGGGAATTTGATTGTTAAATGCCTTGATGTAGGTGTATTTGGATTAAATCTGCTTGGTGTTCTATAATCTTCTTGTTCTTGAATATTGATATCTTTCTCTAGGTTTGGGAAGTTCTCTGTTATTATCCCTTTGAATAGATTTTCTTACCCCAATCTCTCTTTGTACCTCTTCTTTAAGGCCCATAAATCTTAGATTTGCCCTTTTGAGGTTATTCTCTAGATCTCATAGGCATGCTTCATTTATTTATTTTTATTTTTATTTTTGGTCTCCTCTGCCTGTGTGTTTTCAAATAGCCTGACTTTAAGTTCACTAATTCTTTCTTCTACTTGATTAATTCTGCTATTAAGAGACTCTAATGCATTCTGCAGTATATCAATTGCATTTTTCAGCTCCAGAGTTTCTGCTTAATTCTTTTTTAATTATTTCAATCTCTTTGTTTAATTTATCTGGCAGAATTCTTAATTTCTCCTCTGTGTTATCTTATATTTTATTGAGCTTCCTCAAAATAGCTATTTTGAATTATCTGTCTGAAAAGTAACATGTCTCTGTCTCTCCAGGATGGGTCACTGGTGCCTTATTTCATTTATTTCATTTGTTTGGTGAGTTCATGTTTTTCTGGATGATCTTGATGCTCATGGATGTTCATCATTGTCTGGGCAATGAAAAATTAGATATTTATTGTAATCTTCACAGTCTGGGCTTATTTGTATCCATTCTTCTTCGGAAGGGTTTCCAGGTTTTCAAAGAGACATGGGTATCGAGATCTAAGTCTTTGGTGTCGTGGAGGCCTTGAGTTAGATCTGGGAGAATTCCCTGAATTACAAAGCAGAGACTCTTGTTCTCTTCCTTTACTTTTCCCCAAACAGAGTCTGTCTTTGGGCTGAGCTCCCAGGAGCTGGGGAGGGATGACACAATTATACTTGTGCCCACTACCACTGGGACTGTGCTGGGTAAGACCTGTTATTATTGGCACAGCACAACATTGGGTCACACCCAAGGCCCTCAGTGACCACTGCCTAGCTACCACCTATGTTCACTCAAGGCCCAAGCGGCTCTACAATCAGCAGATGACAATCCAGCTAGGCTTGCTTTCTTCTCTTAAGGGTGATGAGTTCTCTTAGCCCTGAAAGATACTGTCTGGAAGCCAGGGCCTAGAGTAGGGAACCTTAAGAATCTACCTGGTGCTCCATTCTATTGTGGCTAGGCTGGCACCCAAGCTGCAAGACAAAGTCTTCCCCATGCTTTCTTCCTCTTACCTCAAGCAGAGGAGTTTCTCCCTGTGTCCACTAGTGCCCCAGGCCCACAGCAAGTGCTGCCTGGCTACTGCCGATTTTCATTCAGAGCCCATAGGCTCTTCAGTCAGCTTGTGGTGAATGCTTCTAGGCTGGGGTCTCTTCCTTCAGGGCAAGTGGCTCCATTCTGGCCCAGGACCAGGAGCCAAGGCCTGGAATCAGGAATACCAGGAGCCTGCTTGTTGCTCTACCCAACTGTGGCCCAAGATGCAAGAGAAAGTCCCCTTTACTCTTTCCTCTCCTTTCTTCCCTTGGCTACCCTGGCTGGTGTCTTGCTAGGTCACATGTACGCCAAGTCCACTGGCTCCAAGTTCAGCACAGCACCACAGCTTGCCTAGGATTTGCAGTCCTTGTGGCCTAGACTTCTTTTCAAGTTTATTTAGAACCCCAGAGTCCTTTAGCCCATGATGGCAGGGCTTTCCAGAACTTTCCTCTGTAGGCACTGACTGAGTTCATCCTGTTTTTGCGTTCTGTTGTGCCAGGGCAGCACTGAGTTCTAATTCAAAGTCCCGTGATCAATGCACTCTCTCTCCTGCAAGCAGACAGATTATATCTGCACCAACAGTCAATGCTGGGGGATGGGAAGGGATGGTGTCAGCAATTCAGGATTTCATTTTCTGCCCTTTTCATTGCCTCTTTTAGTGATATGAAATTAAAACCAGGTACTATGATTGCTCACCTGATTTTTGGAGCTTATAAAAAAAGGTGCTTTTTTTGTATGGATAATTGTTGAATTTGCTGTTTCCACAGGATGGACAATTACTGAAGAGTTCTATTTGGCCATCTTGCTCTGCTTCTTCAATCTGTACTATGTGTGTGTGTTTGTGTGTCTGTGTGTATATGTAATATATATGATATATATAGTATATATACTATATATAGTACTATATATAGTATATATACTATATATAGTACTATATATAGTATATGTATGGTACAGATTGTATATTATGCATGTGTATATATGTGTGTGTGTGTGTAAGAGAATTAGCCGCCTTCAGCTTTTATTCTTTCCCGAAGCTTTGCAAAACCTCTCAGCCTTCCAAGAAGGTTTGCGTCTTTCCGTATAATTTTTCCCACCACCCTGACTGATCTCCTACATCTCCCCCTTTTCTGCTTTTTGCATCAGGTTTTGTTGACTGAAGAGTACAGATGTGTGCAGCAACAGGTTTGTCTGGGGTAGCAGTTACTGCTCATATTCCAGCTTTGCATCCTAGAATTAGTAAATGAGACAAACATGACTATAATTAGTAATATTCTTTTCCAATCAAGGAGCAACATCTAGTGTTACTTGGCACCACAGTCTAATGTGTGCCGTTAGTAAGGAACACCACTGGAGGTATGTCAAGCCCTCCCAGCCAAGCAGTTACATTATTAGAGGCTGGGAAGGGGGTGTCTGCCCAGGTAACAGGGCAGAAGAAAGGCAGATTTAGAAGATGGGTCTAATAAAATGCAGCAGGTATTGGTTGCAGCCACAGTGAGAGAATAAGAAAAACCAATATCCTATGAGAGTTGCAATGTACAACAGAAAGCATAGCAAGGAACAAATTATCTGGAGTGAACGGCATCTGTGTCCCGAGCAGGTTCACTCAACCTCCTGATTTGTCTTCTTCATTATCCCCCAGGTAATGTCTGGGGCTTGTGTCATCCGAGGAAGCAGCATCATCTGGGGTTACGGATCCTGCAGGGTCATTTCCTTCATTTCTGGTACTGGGCTGGGTCTTAGCCACACCATGGTATGGTTTGATGCATTATGCTGGAATCCAAAGAGTACCTGAGGGGGTGTGAACACAAGGATATTCTCTTCCCCACGTTAGCAATTCATTTGGACCACACCATACATTACTATTTACATCCTTCCATAAAACTGTGGGTTTTATGTCTTGAGAGGTTTTTAGCAAAGTGCTTTTCTATGGCTGATTGAAATTTATCATTTAAATTTAAGAAACTAAGGGTAAATAAGGCTTGCACTAGTAGTGTTGCAGGATCCTTACTCATATTCCCCCTTTTTTGTTTTCTGAGCATATTTTTAAGGGTGGAGTGGATACATTCTACTATGGCCTGTCCTTGGGGTTATACAGGATGCCTGTGGAATATTGGATGTTCCATGTGTGACAAAATTGTTGAAATTGTGAGCTGGCATAAGAAGGACCATTATCAGTTTTAATTTTTGTGAGCCACCCCATAAACACAAAAGTTAAGAGAAGATGTTTAATGACATATTGGGTGAACTCTCCAGGAAGAGTATGTGAGCTAATTAGGGGGGAATTGGTATCAATGGATACATGTACATATCTAAGTTTTCCAAATTCAGGGACGTGAATAACATCTGCCATAACTGATTAGGTTCTAGTCCTCTAGGGTTAACACCTGTTGAAGGAGGGGACATGCCTGTGAATTGGCAATCTGAGCATTATAAAATAATTTGTTTAGCTAGTCTTTGGGTAAGTTGAAATTGTTTAGATAAGTTGCTCCAATTTTGGTGAAAAAATTGATGTGATTGTGTGGCTTGGTCAAGCAGTGACATCATAACCTGCAGGTCTGCTGGATTATTGCCATAAGCCAGTGGGCCAGGAAGTGAGCTGTGGGCTCGAATATGTGTGATAAAAATAGGATGTGTACGTTGATCCAGCAATTGCTGAAGTCGAAGAAAAAGTGCACACAGGGTGGGCTCGAGAGTGGACTTAATAAGGACTATCTCAAGGTTCCATAATAAGTAAACAGAGTAAGCAGAGTCACTAACAATATTGATGGGCTGAGTGGAAAAAGTTTCCAGGGACAATATTAAGGCTCCAACCTCAGCTCTCTGAGCACTAATAAATCCCGATCGACTGAAGGAGTTATGCAGTTCCCACTAGACAGCTGTTTTCCCATTTTTACTAGAGTTATCAGTAAAAAGCAGTAAAGTGTTAAGTATGGGGAAGTGAACTACCTTTGTAGGCATAACTGCAGGAGTACGAGATAAGAACTGAAGTAGTTTGTCAGCAGGAAGGGCATGTTCTATATGGCCTGCATAATCAGAGAGTGCTAGTTGCAGGTCTAGAGATAAGGGCAAGACTGCTTTGAATTGGTTTTTACTCAAAGGAATTCTTATGACATCAGGGTCATAACCTAGCAATGGATTGCATCATCTGCAGCCTGTATAGGTGACTTTACTAACTAGCTGGATATAGGGAGATAGTGTTTTAGTCTTGGTATGTGAGCAAAAGACCCATTCTAGAAAGCACAGCCCTGGGGCTATGTTTCCTATTAATCCTGTTGGGGAAAGTTTAGTAGGAAAAACAAAAAATTGAACTGAATATTGTGGGTCTATGCAATCTAGCTGCCTCTGAGAAATAGCTTGCTCTATTTCCTCAATTTCTGTTTTTGCTGCAGGGGTTAAATACCTGGGAGAGTCTAGGGCTTATTGCTCTTTAGGATAGAAAACAGGTTTTGTAACTTATCGTAGTTATGCCCAAAGTGGGCGAAGCCAATTAATATCACCCAGTAATTTCTGATAATCATTTAAGGTGTGTAAGTTGTCAGTGTTCAATTTAACCTTTTGAAGTCTCACTGACCAGGAAGTTAGTATGTATCCAGAATATTTCAAAGGAAAGGACATCTGTACTTTTTCAGGTGCTATGATTAAACCTCTTAACCGTGTATTCCTTTGGACATAGGCATATAAACTTAAAAGTACTGGCTCTGTTGGATCTGCTAGTAAAATATCATCCATAAAATGAATAATCTTGCAATTAGGAAATTCTTTTCTACTTGGGAGAAAACCTTGATTTACATGATACTGTCACATGGTAGGACTCTTCAGCATCCCTTGAGGAAGTACATTCCAATGAAATCAATGAGCTGGCCTTTCATTATTGATAGCTGGTATAGTAAATGCAAAGTTTTATCTGTCCTGTTCTGCAAGGGGAATAGTATAAAAAACAGTCTTTTAAGTCAATAACGACTCTAGGCCAATCTTGAGGAATCAGCTTGGGGGAAGTGAGCACCTGTTGAAGGGGCCCCATAGGTTGCAAATTAGCATTAATAGCCTGTAAGTCATGCAATAGTCTCCATTTGCCAGATCTTTTGGGAATAATGAAAATGGGTGAATTCCAAGGGCTGTTTGATGGTTCTAGGTGGCTGGCTTTTAATTGCTCCTCAATTAATTAATGGGTTCTTTGTAATTTCTCTCCCTTTAAAGGTCACTGTTCTATGCAAATTGGATCTTGAGAGAGCCACATCAGGGGTAGGGGAGGAATAACAGTGGCCATTAATAGAAAGAGGTCTACAGAGTGACCTCAACCCTCTCATAAATGGGCTAGCAGCTCTGTTTTCTCTAATTCTTCTTATCTCTTTCTAAGCACCAAAATAAATGGGTACATACATCCGATTGCCTTGCCAATCTTGCATTACCGGGCAGGCTAAGAGCTCCCCTTCTAATGCCGCTTGCCTAAGACAGGGTCCCACAGCTGTAGTGTATCCCTTGTCTTTCTTCCAATTTATTGGAGGAGGGAGCTCAGGAAAAACCTTTGTTTTCTCTTTGGTATCTTTACCCTGTAATGGTGGGGCTAAGGGAGGAGGAGCAGGCAGTAAGGTAGGTGATGGTTCTTCCCCTCTTCGCTTTTTAGGCTCTTCTGGGTAGAGTGGGGCCAAAGCAGCCCTAACTAAGGCCCATAATGTTAAAGATGTTACTGTGACCCGTTGCCCTTGTGCATGATGTTGTTTAAGACTACTCCTCACTTGTTCCCAGAGCTCTAGGTCTAACGTGCCTTCTTCCAGGAACCATGGGTTATGGGAAACAAGAGTTTGCATTAGGTCTCTTAATTGAGCGTGTGAAACCAAGGCTCCACTAGCTTTAAGCAGCTATTTCAATACTTTTATATACTGTTTCTTTTGAGCTAATAACTGTTGTCCCATGATGAAACCCTAGCCTGAAAATTCCCCCAAACTTGGAAATCCCGAGCAGGCATCAGTGACTTACTGACTGTGCAGTCTCTTCACCTTTATTTTTGGGGGTTCCATTGCAATCTGTTGCAGCATTCCTCACAGGGGGCACTACCTGCCAGGTCTGTCCAGCAGACTGGCCAAGAGACAAATGAAAGAAGTATGCAAACGTCGGTATTTTGCCTGAGAGTATAGCTAGGGAACTGCACAGCTTAGCACCACCAACAAGAGTGCAGCCCGGATAAGTTAGAGCTGCTTGTATTTATTCAGTACAGATTTAATCACAAAGGCCTGGAGCAAACACAATTTATGGGTAATTAACATTGTTGCCCCCCTGAGTAGAAAGCAGGCCTACACACGCGAATGATCAAAGGTTGGTTTCCGGAGATGAAAGTAAATGAATTCATCTACATAAATTCTTTTACATTCCCTTGTTATCTCCCCTTCGCACTCTGCTTCAGGGTAAGAGAGTTAGCTGCCTTCAGCTTTTATTCTCTTGCAAAGCTTTGCAAAACCTCTTGGCCTTCCAAGAAGGTTTGCATCTTTCCCTATAATTTTTTCCACCTCCCTGACCTATCTCCTACAATGTATTATTATTATTATGTCCACAATTCTTATTTTGATTTGTATGGAAATTTTTGTTTTTGTTGTTGATTTCTGCAGTGTTAATTTTTGTGAGCCTGTTTTATTTAAAATATTTCCATCAGAAGGAGGATTTGCATCATGGTTGATGGGAGGCAGGACTAGCTTGCAGCTCCAGACAGAGAAGTGTGTAGAGGCTCACATTGTGAATTTTATCTCCAGATTGACTGCAAGAACAAACCAGAAATCCTGAAAGGACCCACATACCCTCTGAATAAAGCGGACTACTCCTGCAGGACCTGGGAGATACCCCAAAAACTGTGAGTGTCCCAACTGTGGAAGTGGGAAAGGGAAACCCTCCTCTCCTGAACAAACACCACCACTGGAGAAGCTGAAGGTCTTCTTATGGGAGAAATTTCTGATATTATCTGGAGCTCAGTCAATTTGGAGAGCAGAGCAAAATACAGAGGTAAAGGAGGCAGCAGAAAGGCCCTGGGAGCTCGCCGGGTCCCCTAGAAGGCCATTCTTGCCTGGCACCACAGAGATCCCTCGAGAGGGTGACCAGAGGAGCAGGAGGTAAAACTCCACAGGGAGAAGGAAATCTCTAGCTGAACTTTGTAACAATTCAAAGGGGGTTTGAAACCTGGCTAGATCTTGGGGGAGGGTGCAAATTCAGTGTGCAGACCCCACAGGCAGGGGTAGAACCATGCCCTTTTCATTTGCAACTGGGAGGTGGGTAGCCTGCGGCAGATTTTCAAGCCCGTCTCACACTGCACCTGGAAATGGACTCAGGGCTGTTGAGGGGGCATGGTGGGAGTGAGACCAGCCCTTTGGTTTGCATGGGAGCTGGGTGAAGTCTGTGACTACCAGCTTTCTCTCACTTCCTTGACAACCTGCATGACTCAGCAAAGGTGGCTATAATCCTCCTAGGCACATGACTCCAGTGACCTGGGATTCTCACCCCCATCCCTGACAGCAGTGGTAGCAACACCCGCCCAAGTAGATTCTGAGCTCAGACACGCCTAGCCCTGGCCCCACATGATAGTCTTTCCCTACCCACCCTGGTAGCTAAAGACAAAGGCACATACAAGATCCCTGCCCACCCCGGTTCCTCCTCATACTAACACAGCTGATGCTCTCTGGAAAGCACCAACTCCTGGCAGAAGGCCAACCAGCACAAAAATAGAGCATTAAACCACCAAGACTAAGAACCCTGAGAGAGTTCATTGCACCCCCCTGCCTGCCACCTCCACCTCCACTCAACAGGCACTGGCATCCATGGCTGAGAGACCGACAGACAGTTCACGTCACAGGACTCTGTGCAGACAACCCCCAGTACCAGCCCAGAGCCTGGTAGACTCACTGGGTGGCTAGACCCAGAAGACAGATAACAATCACCACAGTTTTGTGCACAGGAAGCCACATCAATAGGAAAAATGGGCAAGTACTACATCAAGGGAACACCCTGTGGGACAAAAGAATCTGAACAACAGTCTTCAGCCCTAGACCTTCCCTCTGACAGAGCCTACCCATGTGAGAAGGAACCAGAAAACCTATCCTGGTAATATGACAAAACAAGGCTCTTCAACACCCCCCCGCAAAATCACACTAGTTCACCAGCAGCAGACCCAAACCGAGAAGAAATCCCTGATTTACCTAAAAAATAGTTCAGAAGGTTAGTTATTAAGGTAATGAGGGAGGGACCAGAGAAAGGCAAAGTCCAATGCAAGGAAATCCAAAAAATGATACAAGACGTGAAGGGAGAAATATTCAAGGAAATAGATAGCTTAAAGAAAAAACAAAAATTAAGGAAACTTTAGACACACTTTTAAAAATATGAAATGCTCTGGAAAGTCTCAGCAATAGAAATGAACAAGTAGAAAAAAGAAATTCAGAGCTCTAAGGCAAGGTCTTCGAATTAACCTAATTCAACAAAGACAAAGAATAAGAAAATATGAACAAAGTCTCCAAGAAGTCTGGGATTATGTTAAATGCCCAAACCTAAGAATAATTGGTGTTCCTGAAGAAGAGAATTCTAAAAGCTTGGAAAACATTTTGAGGGAATAATTAAGGAAAACTTCCGTGGCCTTACTAGAGAAAGGAAATTCATCACAAAAAGATCTTCACCGAGGTACATTGTCATCAGGTTATCTAAAGTTAAGACAAAGGAAAGAATCTTAAGAGCTATGAGACAGAAGCATCAGGTAACCTATAAAGAAAAACCTATCAGATTAACAGCAGATTTTTAGCAGAAACACCACAAGCTGGAAGGGATTGGGACCCTATCTTCAGCCTCCTCAAACAAAATAATTATCAGCCAAGAATTTTGTATTTAGTAAAACTAAGCATCATATATGAAGCAAAGACGCAGTCTTTTTCAGACAAATGCTGAGAGAATTTGCCATTACCAAGCCACCACTACAGGACCTGCTAAAAGGAACTCTAAATCTTGAAACAAATCCCAACAAAACAGAACCTCTTTAAAGCATAAATCACACAGTACCTATAAAACAAAAATACAAGTTAAAAAGCAAAAACAAGAAACAAAAAGTCAAGGTATACAGGCAACAAAGAGCATGATGAATGTAACGATGCCTCACATTTCAATACCAACATTTAATGTAAATGGTCTACATGCTCCACTTCAAAGATACAGAACTCCAGAATGGAAAAGAACTCACCAACCAACTCTCTGCTGCCTTCAGGAGACTCACCTAGCATGTAAGGACTCACATAAACTTAAAGTAAAGGGGTGGAAAAAGGTATTTCATGCAAATAGACACCAAAAGCAAGCAGTGGACACTATTCTTACAGCAGACAAAACAAACTTTAAAGCAATAGGAGTTAAAAGAGACAAATAGGGACATTATATAATGGTGAAAGACCTCGTCCAACAGGAAAATATCACAATCCTAAATATATATGCACCTAACACTGGAGCTCCCAAATTTATAAAACAATTACTAATAGACCTATGAAATGAGATAGATAGGAACACAATAATAGTGGGGGACTTCAATACTCCACTGACAGCACTAGACAGGTCATTAAGTCACAAAGTCAACAAAGAAACAATGTATTTAAACTATACCTTGTTACAAATGGACTTAACAGATATATACAGAAGATTTCATCCAACATCCCTAGAATACACATTCTATTCAACAGCACATGGAACTGTCTCCAAGATAGACCATATGATAGGCCATAAAACGAGCCTCAATAAATTAAAAAAATTGAAATATATTAAGCACTCTCTCAGACCACAGTGGAGTAAAACTGGAAATCAACTCCAAAAGGAACTTTCAAAACCATGCAAATACATGGAAATTAAATAACCTGCTCCTGAATGAGCACTGGATCAAAAACGAAATCAAGATATAAATTAAAAAATTTTTCTAACTGAACAACAATAATGACTCAACCTAATGAAACCTCTGGGATACAGCAAAGGTGGTGCCAAGAGGAAAGCTGATAGTCGTAAACGCCTACATGAAAAAGACTAAGACAGTACAAGCTGACATTCTAAGGTCACACCTGAAGGAATTAGAGAAACAAGAAGAAACCAAATTCAAACCCATCAGAAGAAAGGAAATAACCAAGATCACAGCAGAACTAAATGAAATTGAAACAAACAAACAACATACAAAAGATAAATGAAACAAAAAGCTGGTTCTTTGAAAAGATAAATAAAATTGACAGACCATTAGCAAGATTAACCATTAGCAAGAGAGAAAATCCAAATAATCTCACTGAGAAATGACACAGGAGACATTACAACTGGCACCACTGAAATAAAAAAGTTAATTCAAGACTACTGACACCTTCACTCACATAAACTATAAAACCTAGAAGAGATGGATAAACTCCTGGAAAAATACAACCTTCCTAGCATAAATCAGGAAGAATTAGAAACCCCAAACAGACCAATAACAAGCAGAAAGAATGAAATGAATAAAATGAAAATAATGAATAAAAAGCTACCAACAAAAAAAATTCCAGGACCAGATGGATTCACAGCGGACTTCTGCCAGAAATTCAAAGAAGAACTGATATCAATCTTTTTGACACTATTCCACAAGATATGGAAAGAAGGAACCCTCTCTAATTCATTGTATGAAGCCAGCCTCACCCTAATAGCAAAATCAGGAAAAGACATAACCAAAAAAGAAAACTGCAGGCTGATATCCTTGCTAAAATCCTTAACAAAATACTAGCTAACCAAATCCAACAATATATCAAAAAGATAATCCACCATGATCAAATGGGTTTCATACCTGGAATGCAGGGATGGTTTAACATCAAGTCAAGAAATGTGATACACCACATAAACAGAATTAAAAACAACAATCAGGTGATTATCTCAATAGATGAAGAAAAAGCATTTGACAAAATCCACATCCCTTTATGATTAAAACTCTCAGCAAAATTGGCATACAAGGTACATACCTTAAAGTAATAAAAGCCATTTATGACAAACCCACAGCCAACATAATACTGAATGGGGAAAAGTTGAAAGCATTCTATCTGTTAACTGGAACAAGCCAAGGATGCCCACTCTCACCACTCCTCTTCAACATAGTACTGGAAGCCCTAGCCAGAGCAATCAGAAGAGAGAAAGAAATAAATGGCATCCAAATCAGTAAAGAGGAAGTCAAACTGTCACTGTTTGCTGATGATATGATTGTTTATCTTGAAAACCCTGAGGACTCCTCCAGAAAGCTCCTAGAACTGATAAAAAAGAAATTCAGTAAAGTTTGCAGATGCAAGATCAATGTACACGAAGAGCTACAAATCAGTAGCTCTTCTATACACCAGCAATGACCAACCAGAGAATCAAATCAAGAACTCAACCCCTTTTACAATGGCTGCAAAAGTAAATAAAATAAAATACTTAGGAATATACCTAACCAAAGAGTCAAAAGACCTCTACAAGGAAAACTACAAAACACTGCTGAAAGAAACTGTAGATGACATGAACAAATAGAAACACATCCTATGCTCATATGTGGGTAGAATCAATATTGTGAAAATGACCATACTGCCAAAAGCAATCTACAAATTCAATGCAATTCCCATCAAAATACCACCATCATTCTTCACAGAATCTGAAAAAAAAATTCTAAAATTCATATAGAACCAAAAAAGAGTCCACATATACAAAGCAAGACTAAGCAAAAAGAACAAATCTGGAGGCAACACACTACCTGATTTCAAAATATATTATAAGGCCATAGTCACCAAAACAGCATGGTGCTGGTATAAAAATAAACACATAGACCTGTGGAAACCACAGAATAGAGAACCCAGAAATAAACCCAAATACAGCCAACCGATCTTCGATAAAGCAAACAAAAACATAAAGTGGGGAAAGGACACCCAACAAATAGTGCTGGGATAATTGGGTAGTCACATGTAGGAGAATGAAACTGTATCCTCATCTCTCACCTTATACAAAAATCAACTCAAGATGGATTAAGGACTCAAACCTAAGATCTGAAGCTATAAAAATCATAGAAGATAACATTGGAAAAACCCTTCTAGACATTGGCTTAGGCAAGAATTTCATGACCAAGAACCCAAAAGCAAATGCAATAAAAACAAAGATAAACAGCTGGGACCTAATTAAACTAAAGAGCTTTTGCACGGCAAAAGGCATAGTCAGCAGAGTAAACAGACAACCCACAGAGTGGGAGAAAATTCTTCACAATCTATACATCTGACAAAGAACGAATATCCAGCATCTACAATGAGCTCAAACAAACCAGTAAGAATAAAACAAACAATTCCATCAAAAAGTGGGCTAAGGACATGAAGAGATAATTCTCAAAAGAAGATATACAAACGGCCAACAAACATAAGAAAAAATGCTCAACATCACTAATTATCAGGGAAATGCAAATCAAAATCACAATGCGATACCACCTTACTCCAGCAAGAATGACCATAATCAAAAATTCAAAAAACAGTAGATGTTGGCATGGATGTAGTGAACAGGAAACACTTCTACACCAATGGTGGGAATGTAAACTAGTACAGCCACTATGGAAAGCAGTGTGGAGATTCCTTGAAGAACTAAAAGTAGAACTACTATTTGATCCAGCAATCCCACTTCTGGGTATCCACCCAGAGGAAAAGAAGTCATTATACGAAAAACATACTTGTACATGCATGTTCATAGAGGCACAATTCACAATTGCAAAATCATGGAACCAATCCAAGTACTCATCAATCAACAAATGGATAAATAAATTTATATATATTTTTTATATTTATATTTATATATAAAATATATATATAAAATATATATATATTTAAATATATATATAAATATATATATAAATATATAATATATAAATATATTTATATATTATATGTTTATATATATATTTATATATATTTATATATAATATATTTATATATTATATATTTATATATTTATGTATAATATATTATATATATATTTATATATTATATATAATATATAAATATATAATATATTTATATATTATATATTTATATATTTATATATATTTATATATTATATATTTATATATATTTATATATTATATATATCATATATTTATATGTATTTATATGTTATATATTTATATATTATATATTTATATATTATATATTTATATATATTTATATATTATATATTTATATATTATATTTTTATATATATTTATATATATTTATATATTATATATTTCTATATATTTATATATAAATATATTTATATTTCTATATATTTATATATAAATATATTTATATTTCTATATAGTATATATTTATATATAAATATATTTATATTTCTATATAGTATATATTTATATACATATATTTATAAATAAATATATTTATATTTCTATATAGTATATATTTATATACATATATTTATATATATTGCATATATTTATATACATATATATTTTTGTACATTTATATATATGATGGAATACGCCACAGCCATGAAAGGGAATGAATTAACTGCATTTGCAGTGACCTGGATGAGATTGGAGACTATTATTCTAAGTGAAGTAATTCAGGAATGGAAAACCAAAGATCGTATGTTCTCACTCCATATGTGGGATCTAAGCTATGAGGATGCAAAGGCCTAAGAATGATTCAATGGACTTTGCGGACTTGGGGGTAAGAGCGGGAGGGGAGTGAGGGATAAAAGACTACAAATATGGTGATGTGTATACGGCTTAGGTGAAGGGTGCAGCAAAATCTCAGAAATCACTACTAAAGAACTTACCCATGTAACCAAATATCACCTGTACCCCAATAACTTATGGAAAAAAATAAATAAAAATTTTAAAAAGTTAATGTCAAAAAATAAAAAAATCTCTATTAAACACAATGTTTATATATATGTTTTATATTAAAAATCTGCTTGTGGATTTATTTTATAGTCTGTGGCTAAAAAATTTGGAGTCATGAGGACACCAATATTCTCTCCTCATTACAATGTCCAATACATGCCAAATCAAACAATATTTGCATAATTAACTGGAAAACTTATAAAATATAAGAGGCATTAATCATTTAAACATTTTTTAAGAAGTAGAATCCATAAGGAGGAAAGTACTCAATCACAAGTATACAGTTCAGAGACTATTTACAAAGTGAACAGGCTCACATGTAGTGGGTTGAGTGGTGGCTTCAAAAAGAAAAGCCCATATCCTAATACCCAGAAACTATGTATGTGACTTTATTTGGAAAAGGGTTTTTGCAAATGTAATTAAGCAACAGATTTTGAGATGTTATCATCCTGTATATCTGGGTGGTGGGCCTTAAATTCATAGCAATTTATAAAGGACAGAAAAGGGTAAGACAGAGACACAGAGACTATCTTGGAATTGTGCAACCACAAGCCAAGAAACAACAGAAACCAAGTGGAAGAGGAAAAAAGGATTCTTCCCCAGAGCCTTCAGAGGGAGCACAGCCCCATTGACACCTTGACTTAAGACTTCTGGCCTCCAGAGCTGTGAAGAAAAAAAACAAAATGGTTGTTGTAATCAATCTAGTTTGGGATGATTTGTTACAGCAGTCTTAAGATATCAATGTAACACATAGCCACCAAGGTCAAGAAGTAGACTGTTAATAACACTTAAGTATCCCCTCTTGTTCCAACCACATTCTTCTTCCTAACAGCACAGATAATTTGTGAATGCTTTTGAATTATATATGAATGAAGTCATGCAGTATTTTTTATGACTAGTTTCTTTTGCTCATATTACATTTGTGAAATTTAGTAGTGTCACTGATGCCATTTATATTTTCATTTTTGAATAATAATTTCATTTTACAAATGCATCACACTTTATTTGACTAACTGGCAATGGACTTATTAGCTTTTGGTAATTTTGTGTAATTCTATAATTTTTAGTAATTGCATTACAAATTCTTGGATACTTCTTCGGGATACATGTGCATATTTTTCTACTGAGTATAGAAATTATATTGCTGGGTCACATTCAAATTTAGTTTAGTTCCTGCTTCTGTAATTCCCCCTAGAGCCAATTGTCCTATATATACTAACGTGGTTCCCCCCTTCCCATTTTCTACCTACATATAATCAGAAAATCTGCTTGGACTAAAAGCAAAAATCTTCAGTATAGATTGTTACAGTAGGGTGTATTTCCTTTATTGTGAAGAGACATATTTATTTGGTATGACTGCCTGAAGTGATCTAATTATACTATTGATAAATAAACCTTTGCAGTGCCCACTGCTTGCTTAACCTGCTACAACACCATTCTCAGAGATATTACATAGGATCAAAATCTCATTTTTCACATTTGCCCCATGGTCTGCTTTCATCTCCAATCCTTCAAGATCCAGTCTCGAAGGTGAACTATTCCATGACTCCCTCCTGCCCTATCCAAGTTAGATTTTGTTTTAGCAGGTTTTTTGGATTGTTGTTTTTAAGTTTTTATTTAGCTTTTTATTATATAGTGAGACCGGCCCTCAATATGGAGTCAACATGGTTGGAGCTGGCCAGGCCTGGTGGCTCACGCCTGTAATCCCAGCACTTTGGGAGGCCGAGGCGGGCGGATCACGAGGTCAGGAGATCAAGACCATCGTGGCTAACACTGTGAAACCCCGTCTCTACTAAAAAATACAAAAAACTAGCCGGGCGCGGTGGTGGGCGCCTGTAGTCCCAGCTACTAGGGAGGCTGAGGCAGGAGAATGGCTTGAGCCCGGGAAGTGGAGCTTGCAGTGCGCCGAGATCGCGCCACTGCACTCCAGCCTGGGCCACAGGCGAGACTCCCTCTCAAAACAAACAAACAAACAAACAAACATGGTTGGAGTTAAAAATTATCATGCTTGTGAAAGCAACTAAATGGCAGAATAATACGAATAATATCTAATTATTATGTTTGTGTTTGTTATTCCTTTATTAAATGGAATTTTGATAATCTAGGAAGGACTCTACTGTTCCTGACAGATCAAATATCTAAAAATATCAAATAACCTGATTAGTTTATTGTGAATAACAGAAAACAAAACAAAAAACACTAATAGCTTGCCATTTTTTTTTGTTTTTCCAGTAATAAACCCTAAATATAAGGGCTCCCAATTAAAACAAAGTAATGGA
Organism: Homo sapiens; assembly: GCF_000001405.40. Taxonomy (NCBI): domain Eukaryota; kingdom Metazoa; phylum Chordata; class Mammalia; order Primates; family Hominidae; genus Homo; species Homo sapiens. The sequence goes on from NC_000006.12 coordinate 49,901,058, forward strand.
GGTCCTAGCATTAATTTAAAAAATGAGTTACTAATGAAGGGTTATTACAGTTGACCCTTGAAGAACATAGATTTGAACTCTATGGGTTCACTTACATGTGAATTTTCTTCTGCCTCTGCCATTCTTGAGACAGAAAGACCAATATATCCTGTTATTCCTCCTTCTCAGCTCATTCAAAGGGAAGACAACCAGGATGAAGGCTTTTAGGATGATCCACTCCCACTTAATGAATAGCAAATACATTTTCTTTCCTATGATTTTTAAAAATAAAATTTTCTTTCCCCCAGCTTACTTTAGTGTAAGAATACAATAAAAAATACATATAATATAAAACATTTAATTGACTGTTTTGTTATTGGTATGACTTTCAGTCGATTATAGGTTATAAGAAGTTCAGTTTTGGGGAAGCTAAACTTATGCATGGATTTTTGATTGCACAAGGGGTTGGTGCCTCCAATTCCCATTGTTGTTCAAGGGCCCACTATATTTTGCTCATCCTAGAAAGCAGCTTTTATGCACCAGAATTGGTACCCCCTTTCTTTGACTTTCTTACAATATTTTAGTAAAAGGAATATGATTATGTGGGAGAAATTATTGCTAGTTTCTCCAATAACCCTATTTCTGCCCATGGATGTACCATTCTGGATCAATTTTTCATCTGAATATTATTTAGCAAAAATTTATCCTGGCATTTGATAGATCTGACCAAAAGTCTTAATTTCTACTGCTTAATTCCCATTGCTATTGAAAGTTTGCATTACTTTTTAATGTGCATGTACTTCGTGGTTCTCAAAGTATTTAACAAACAAAAGTTGTACAGTAAAGATTTGTTAAAGAAAGGAAAAAGGAAATGAAAAATGAGGATGAAGAAATGGAGACCTCTTCTTTTATTATTACAGCACATTTGGGCACAGGATTTTAAGTGTTCATTTCTTAGAATGCTATTGACTGCCTTAATATTTCTCTCAGTTTGCCTGAACTTCAGACGGGATTCTTTCTGACTATAGGCTTCTGACCTACCTTTTCTTACCGCATTTACTTGGGAAACTGGCAATTGTAAATTTTTTCTCTGGCTCTTTGAGATGTAAACCTTATATAACCCAGGAACATCTTTCTCAAGAACTTTGGAACTATTGCTTTGAATCGTAATCATATAGAACCTAGAGACTGTCTTTTAAACTCTGTGGGAGAGTAGAAGCTTAACTTCACACAACAATCAGTAAACACGAATAACCTAATCACATGGACCAAGCACCCTCAACATCCTCCAGTACTTTTCAATTAGCTGGCTCCAGTGTTTTAAAATCCTCCAGCCTTTTGTTTCAATGGAGTTGAGTTCAATCTGCCTTTCCCATTGCAATATAATCTTAACCCTTATTACGATAGTATTGAATAAAGTTTTCCTTGTCATTTTTAACAAGTATTGTGTTATTATGTATTATGTGCAAGTTTTCTTTTATACTACCTCCCTTACTGTCTCCTTACCTTTTCAGTTCCTCATTATCTTTCATACTTTAGGTCAGATGTTATGACACATCTATTTCCAAGAGACAAAAGAGTAATGAGACTAAAGTGAACTCAAGAATGTAACTCTCCCCACACAACACTGGGCTCATTTAAATTTTAAAATGTCACCATTTTCTATGGAAGCCAAGTTCAATCCTCCTCCCTTCAGAGACAGCAACATTTTGGGTAGAGAAAGTCATCCTTTATATTTCACAAACCGAGGAGGCTTGAATGAAATAAACAAAAAGGACAAGGGGTCCAGAATCTATTTTCAAGGAGCAATGGATAACAAATGGAGAAAACATTTAAAGGAAAGATGACAAGAGGAAGACACAGGTCACTTAGAGAATCAGAAAAAATAACAACAAAGAGATAAATTTGAAAGTGCTAATTTTAAAAATGTGAAAATAAACAAAATTCTTTAAGCCTCTGCCAAGTAATCCATGAACTTTGTACATTCCTATTGCACAAAACAGGTGGATGAACTGATAACTTCTGAACAGTCAGTGGGAAAATGATTCTTTTCCTGTAGACGTACAGTCAGATAGGGTAACCCACCAGACTGGAGGTATCATAGGCATATTCTTTTCCACTTCTCCAACTGCTTCTCTTTCATCATCCTTAATCAACCTTAGAAAAAAAAAAAGAAATATCTCGTATGGATTACATAGTACTAGAATCAGTAATTTAGACCTTGAAATTCTAGGATGTAGTATAATGAACTTTAACTTCTAAAAAAGAAGGAACTAGAAGTAAATCATGTGTAGCTTATTTTAAGAGTTTTGTTTTTTAAAAAGTAAGGATGAACATTAGAAAATCCTCAAGTAAATCTATGATGTGTTATGTTTCAGCAATGCCAATATTTGTGAAAGCACTTTATACATTATTTTCTCCTGCATAGAATCCTCCAGTGGTTCTTCATAGTTTTTATGATATATTTTATATTATTGGTTAGAAGATAATTTTCCTCAGAATATGGTTCTGCCTACCTTTTTTGTACTCATTTGCCTTCTTTACCTCTTAAACCTTATTTGGAACATCAATATTTGTGTTTGTTGAGTAAATCATGTAACAGCTATTTCTGACAGGAGTGATAATATAATGAGCATATTTATCTAACAACATGTAGTCATTTTTCTCTCTTAAAATGATGTAAACCGAACTACCTCTGCTTATTGTACAATACTTCTACCTGTTTGCTGACTTTGGTACCTTTCATTTTGATGCTAAAATATTTGCTGATCCTCAGCTATCTGCTCATTTTTAAGAGTGAGGCACTATAGACATTCATTGGAAGCACATGAGGGCAGGTCTTATAAACTGGTAAAGTTCACCGTAGATTAATCAAACATCAATGTGGTTTATATTTTGTATAAGCTGTATATCAGTACAGTTTACCTGGCTCTAACAGGTAAAGCGTATTGATAAAGAAGGGTATCTAACATGATGCTAAAGCTCAGGGATGTCTTTTTTTTTGGCTCCCAATGAGAGTTCCAAGTGACAATAGAACCTTAGCTTCACTGACTCTCTTTTATTCTAAAATTTTTCATCTTCTTTTTTGATTTTGTGTTTTTGTTTTTGTTCATTAACAACCACTAAATTATTCTCCATTAGTAGCAGTAACTAGGAAGAGTTTGGCTTTATCATCTGATCATTTCATGACTATGGCTGAAGGATGACAGAAATGTGTTCTATCACCCATGAGAGATGATGAAGAATTCATTTTGTTAATATTTTTCATATATTTTTCTATTTTTGAGCTCAAATATATGAATAATTTCATGCCCCATGGGAAGAAATGTGTGAGTTTTTTGTGTGTGTTTATTTGTAATCTGTAGTTGAAGTTGTAGAGCTAGAGCTGAAGCTATAATTCAAGCTCTTTATGTGCTTGTCTGTGAGTTTATAAACAAGAAACTTTTGACATTTACCTATGACTATAAAATGTTTTCTTACCTCAAGAATTTATTAATACATTATTATAAAAGAATGTGCATGCCTGTAGAAAGTTGTGCTATTTAAAAGACAAAGTGCACTGGACAATTCAGGAGATGATCTTATTTACTTTATTGTAATAAGGAGAATTTTAATTAATGAGAAACATCCCAGAAGAAAAAGAAGAATCTGGGGTTTAATAGAAGCTGGCAAACAAAGGAGTAATCCACAAGTGTATGAACGTCATGAACAAGGAGGCAGAAGTATTTTACTTCAAAATATGTGAGAATATGACAGATCTTTGCCATGAAACACATGATCACAAGGGTGGGGAACTTCTTTGTTGTTGCTGCTTTCTAGGAACATAGTGCTCAGATAAAATTCAACATTGACAGTTACATGCACTTGGTTAATATTTTAAAACGTTTGTATGAATCAATTCTCATTTATCTACCTGCCATTTCTTTATATACTATGTAAGATAGATCACTCTCGTTAAAAGTTAATAGTTAATATTGCTAGTGGAGTCGATATGATGAGCAATAGTGACAGAAATATGTGTATGTGTGTGCGCTTTCTTCCCAAAGAGATATAGAAAAATTTTATCTCAAAATATCAGCTTCTTCTAGAATATAAAAGCAAATACAGCAATGAACATATAAAGAAAGACAATTCTATCTTAGCTGAGTCTGAATAGAAGCCATAACACATATTAAAATTTTTACAAAGTTTGCTCATTTCTGATGGGCTTATGCCTTTGTTTTATTGGCTAATTTCTTCCCCTTCAATAGGAAATATTATTCTTTACTTTCTATGAAATTTGCCTACATTGAAAAAATTCCCTGTCTTATCAGAATTGTTTTTAATTATTTCAAAGGAGATGGTAACCCTATCTTCCAGTTTCTGTGAAAGCGTTGGGACCTAACTCTGGTAGGTATATTGCTCCAAGTTGTAAAACTGCCTCCTGTCATAAAGATATGAGAAATTTATTTTTCCTTTGGATAAAGCCAATTAGCAAACACAGATGCCCTGTGACTGCACTCTAACATTTTTAAATATTTTTCCACTAGCTCACCCCAGTCTTTAAAAACCTGCAGCCTCCTGCTCCTGCATAATTTAGTTCAGACTTAGTTCTGGTCTCTCTCTCTCTCTTATTGCAATAGCCCCTTTCCCTCCTATGCAATACGGCTTTCAAATAAACGTCTGTACTAAACCTGGATTTGTTTTTCATTTGACACGTTTGACAAATTCATGTTATATTTGCATAAAAATCAAGGTTTTCTGGGATTTTTTTGAAAAAATTATTTGAGCACTTCAAATGTCAAAATTTGGAGCCCCTCCCCACCGACCAGGAAAAAATTCTTTAATTTAAATTAGGAAAGAGTTAAAGACCTGGCTGCTGGTATTATAGGAGCAGAGTGGAAGGTTAGAACTGAAAATTCTGAATCAGCATGTAATAAGCTATCATTTTTTCCTCACAATTTTTCATTGCCCTCTGCTTCATTTTTGGTTTCTAATTTCAAAGCTCTTCTTGTTTAGTTTCTTCAATTTATAACTTTCCTAAGTTCTTCAGAGGAGTCATCTGCCTGTATAAATAAAGGAAGTCACTGAAGAAGGGTGGTGGGGAGAAAGTTTAACTCTTCTAAATACAGACTTTTAATCAGTCATTCTAGGTCTTATATTTCCATCACTCACATTCATTTCCATTTCCCAAGCTGAGTTACCAATTTATGTCTTTCAAATGTTATATTTTTCATTGATAGTATGAATATTTTCCTCATACTTCTTTGTTGATCAAATATTTGACAAACTTATAGTCACCAGATTGGTTTATACATGTAAATTGCTAAAATCTCTAAAAGTTTATTCTATTTTTAGATATGTATTAAAAATTTTTAAAGGAGATATGTTATCAAAACACCAAGTATCATTATAATTGCATTTATGAAGCTCTGTAGTTCTATTATGTCAATCAAGACAAAAGTTCCTGATAGATTAAAAAAAATCATTAATAGTGTGAAATTTTTAATTGTGAGAGAAAAGAGATTTTTTTAACTGAGTTCTATAGATTTTCCACAAAGGGCTTCCCTAAATCTAAAAGGAGAAATGACTCAGGAATTCCTCTGTTTAGGAATAGAGGGTGAAATGTGTTGTAATTTTAGCTGTGCCAATGAGTAGTACAGATGGGATGAAGAGATAGCCAGGCAGATGGTGCCAAAGCAAGAATAGCAGCTGCTGGTGAGTGAGAGCTGAGCAGATGGTGCAATGGCATAGGCCACGGCAGCCATCAGCAGTGAGAAGTATTATAAGTTCATGTTAGAAGATTCTGGAACAGCTGTCCTGAACCTAGTACAATATGAGGCCCTTAATTTCAATGATCATTTGTTAGTATGCACTGGTATTGAGTGTTGAGGAAAGACACCAGTGATTATTGAGCAGGCTGATGCTTCTGTAAGAATACAGTCATTGATTTTATCTTTTCAGTAATCTCACTAGGCAAAGAAAATGTTATTTATTGTGTGTATACTTGCAGGTACAAGAAGGAGCCCTAATATTTGCATAAGGCATTATTGTTGATGATTTTTAAGCACTACCAAAACATATCATTTCTTAATCCTTCAAGCTGGTTTTTCTTATGGCACGAAAGCCTTCAGATGCATAAGACACAAAAGGGTAGTGGCTGAAAAATAACAATTCCTGTTCTTTCTCAAAACTGTTAAATCAGAAATTCTATGAATAAAGCCATAAATTTATGGTTAACAACCCTCTCCAGGGAATTCTATGCACACTAAATTTAGTCCCCACCTTAAGGATATTTAGGGAAATGTTGACAAAAATGTAAAATCTGTTTGAATAAGTATAGCTGCAATGAAAATAAGTTAAAATAAGTTTTTTTTAACTTATGTGTATAGGAAGTCATATGAGATGATTTTGACTTCATATGTGACTAGATGCAGATGCTCAAATGTTATTGCTCTTTCTCATTCTCAGTCTTTCAGATCTGCTTGTCTCTGCTGGGCCTCTTTTGACGGAGTAGGAAGGTTTATCTTCCAAACAATTCCTCTCCTTGTCCCTGAAAATGACTGTTCTTAATTGTATTGTATTCCTGTCTTGGGAAACAATAATTCCCAGGTCTGCAATGGGAAATTTTTATCATAGGCCAGCAAGTGTAATGACCAGAGAAAAAGTGAATATGGATAGTTTGGGGGACTGAATATAGTTTAACAGAACTCAAACTAGAACAGGATAGGGGTGGGCCTAAAAATAGAGAGTAAATCAAAATATTCATATGCTAAAAAGTCTGAACCTTATTTTTGAGGAGATTTTTAAAATGACATTGAAAGATTTACTCAGGCAATTGGCAGTTTTAGATAATCATTTTTGAAAGATTATCTTTCTCATTCCTTTAATTCTTAGGGACAAATACTGTTCAAAGACACCTTGAAATTTAAGGAATCTTAACAATGGAACTCCTCTCACACCTCTATCTCCCTGCCTCAAAATGTGTTCAGCTTAAAACTGACAAGTGGATGGAAACTAAACATTTTCTGAATAATTTACTATGAAACCCAGAACTTCTAGTTCTTCAATGCTTTAATTTTAGTATAAGAGTGGTAATGTGTATTGGCCACATTTTAAAAAATGAACCATAGAGGAAAGAATGCTATTCATGTAAGAAATTAGTATCTTTACAGCATACTGACAAATTTGTTTGCACCTGCTTCTCTGTAATGTGAAAATGTCCCATCTTAAAACTGATGTTCCATATCTCCTGACCTAATCATTAAAAAATGTTAAAGATTAAGAGTTTATGATGATAGAATAAAACAGCTTTCCAGTATTGAGTATTTAAAATATGCAAAGAGCTCAACATGTGTTTTTATCACTTAATTCTCATTATAATTCTACTAGGAAGTACTATAACACTTCTCATTTTTCTGTTGAAGGGTTTGAGACTTTAGGAAATTAAATAACCAGGCCGAGATCACATAAGAATAAATGGTAGAGATAAGATTTGAATGGTTTTCTCTCTGATCTCAGGATATATATATATTCTTAACCACTATGTATATCATGCCTGTGACTTAACCAACTTTATCCTTAGTTTTTTACTTGATAAAATACATATTATAACATTACCTCACAGGATATCTGTGAGTGTTAAATGAAACATATACATATAAAGTGACTAAGGCAATAATTTAGGTTCATCATTTGGAATATTGGGCTCTTTAATCACTATGGCTTTGGGAGAAACTGCTATATTGTTGCTTACCAGTTTATTTTTATTTGTAGGTCCAGAAGTAACTCAAATCACATTTGCTCACAGTTTAATGGTTGGAGATGTTCAGTGGTTCCATTAATGGCAGGGAAGTGGGTTGCAAGGTATAGGAATGCAGATGGAATATTTGGTGAGCTCCACTGTCACTCAACAATACATAGCCACAAAATTATGATGTTTGATTTCCAAAAAGAATTGTCATAATGTAAATCCTAATTTTGCCTCAAATCAAAGTATAATTATTGAGGTTTTAAGTTGAGGAGGGACATTCCACCTAACTTTTCAGATACTTTAGCTATGTAATTCAAACCTTCAAAGTCTACTTAAGTTTTTACAAAAATTCTTGCTTCTAAATGGTCCACAAATCACAGATTTTTGTAAAAAAGGAATTCTTGAATTTAAATGTTTTAATTTTTATAGCTTACTGTAAATTACTCTGTTTTTCACATAATAGAATGAAATATTATATTTATGATTTAAAAATTTGAACAACTAAACTGGCCAAATTAAAATTAGAAGTTTCTGCCTCCTCTTCTCTTAAGATCTAAGTTTTGGGCACATGACAATTCATGATCAGCAAAATGCCAACAGATTTTACTTCTTTATACAAAGTCTAAATAAAGGATAACAAAGCCGTCACTTTTTATTAACATTAATTATAATCTTTCTATATAACACACAGTTATGCAAGAACTTTTTTTCTGTTGCCTCTTATTTAGGTTGTAATTCTTCTGATTGTTTCTTGTCTAATAGTACACTATGAAGTCATGATTAACATTTTACAAATATTCCATCAGTAAGAGCTTATTTTGCCTGTGAATTTTTCTGCTTCATTACCTTCTGTCAGTACATAACAACCATAAGTAAGGAAATAATTAATTTCCATTCTAAGAATTCCTATAGGAACAACTGATATTTTCCTGGCAGTGTTCATGAATACTTGAAGATATGCCAAAAATAAATCATGAGAAAGTGCTATTTGTCAGGATACTTAGCCCCAAAATGGGTTATTGTCAGCATCTAGCAGATGTGAGCTGATGACACGGTGGCAGGTCATATTCCCCACTAGATTTGGCAGTCCTTAGAGTAATAGAAGCCAAGGCATATTAACCTTGACTCTGGCTAGAATACGCTCCTGAAAATCCTTTCTTCTCACTAACACATATGCAGCCAAAGCTTCTGTTCTCTTCTTAGGCTAATGAGCATATCTAATGCTAAAGGTAAATACCCAAAGGACTAGACTATATTTAACACCAGTGTTATATGTAAACTGCCTCTTCAGAGGATTTATAGTCAAAGAGGAGCTAGCTATAGGACTTAGAGAAGGTGAAGTTTATTCTAGACAGAAGGATATTAAACTTGTGATTTGTCATGGTTCTTTTATGCCTGTGGGAATCTATGCTATTATCATGACCATTTAACCCAGAATTTGTTTCTAATTATTTTCTACTTATAGACATATAAGTAGGGTTTGTTATAGGAGGCCCACTTATTTTAGGGAACCTAATTCTAAAATACTTTTCCTTAAATATGATTGCTTATGTAAGCAAAATGAATTTAATTTACCATTTTCAAACATCAATTTTTTGCTCTTTATAGATAGTGGCTTCAAAATTGTAAAAGGGTTGAAACTTATCTACTCCTATTTAATAAGGAGACAGTCTTCTAATGACGTTGCATATCTATTTTTAATAAAGCTGTAACAAAAAATTATATGACTTCTCATTTTTCACTTAATCAACTAAGCTTTTGTCTGTATGTTCAGAGAGATTTTCCTAGTTACTAACTTTCTAACATGCATTTTACTCTTTATTATAGGTAATTCAAAAATATGTGTATCATTTCTGAACTTAGGTGGTAAAGTGGAGACTCACTAGTTTACGTTTAGTGGTAAAGACTGCCTTTATAAATATTCCTACAGTTTAAAGGCTTTGCTCTCTGGTCTTGAATATGTAACAGCTTTGCAAAATGTTTTGTGAGCAAAGTATATATTCAGAATATTTCAGTATCTGAGTTTTGATTAAAGGAATAGAGAAATAGCATACACTGTTGAAATAATTTTTATGGCAATAATAAGGAATATGATATAATCTATCATTGTGTATCTTTTGGTACAAAATACCCAACTAGTAACTTTGCCTTTACTCTCACAACAACTCTGCAGTGAGTTCATTTTACAAGGAAAAAAAGTTTAAATACTTACCCAAGACCACATGGTTATGACATTCTTGAGGATTTAAACCCAGTGGTGTTTTTTTTTTTTTAAATTCTCTGCTCACTATCTTTCTACTGCATAACACTAATCTTATCTTACGGACTTTTATTTCTCAATACTAAACATTTTTCAGTCTAGACACCAATATTTTGATAGACATCAAATTACTTATTTCAGTTAATAAGTAAGGGACTGACTAAAATACATAAATTAAAATACATAAAATTGGAGAAGCATGGTGTGTTATTCTGTTTTGCGTTGCTATAAAGAAATACCTGAGACTGGGTAATTTAATAAATTATTTGGTTCTGCAGGCTGTACAAGCATGGTGCCAATCTGCTCAGCTTCTGGTAAGGCCTCAGGAAACTTTTATTCATGGTGGAAGGCGAAGGGAGAGCAGGCAAGTCACATGGGGAGAGAGCGAGCAAGAGAGAGAAGGAGGTACCAGGCTTCTTTAAACAACCAGCTCAGGAGAACAAATAGAGCTGGAACTCACTCATTACCATGGGGAGGCCACCAAGCCATTCATGAGGGACCCACCTCCATGATTCAAACACCTCCCACTAGATCTCACTTTCAACACTGGGGCTCACATTTCAACATGAGATTTGGAAGGGACACACATCCAAACTATATCACAAGGTTAATTGTGTTTACTGCAAGCATGTTAAATTTGTTCCACCTAACAAAATTTACCCTTTTGTTATAAACTGTTTTGTTATGTAGTTTATAAAACCCTTTAATATTTAATCTCTCAATGGGTTTTCAAGAGTGTCCACACTGACTACATGAACACCGTAATTTTACATCATTTTGTGCATTTCATTTTACAGAAAGCTCTCATTGTTCTTTGATTCAGGTTTTTACTATTAGTGTATTCATCAAGTCACATTATTTCCCAACAGAGTATTTGAAATTTGGTTACTGTAGTGATACATTTGCATGCAATTTTAACTTATTTCTTTCAGCATGGCAACTAAAAGGGAGAGAAATGGCAGGATAATGAATTAGTAAGGATTTGGGGACAAAAAATATTTATTACAAGGGCTGCTTGAGAAAGATCAATAATTATAAGAACATATAATCTTGTAATGCAATTGGAAGTGAATTTAATTCAACTTTTGGTTCTCTTATTTCTCCTTTGAGACATCTACTCAAAGTAGAGTAGCCTTCAATAGCTAACAAAATGCTACTATTGTCAACTCAAAGATCTCTTTTATTCTTAGCACCCGAACTTTACCCTTCAACCTGGGACAGGAACCAGTGTTACTGATACATAAAAGTTTAGGTTAGTTAAAGCAAGGAGATTAAACTGAATGTGGATATGTTAATCTTGGTATTTTAAATAAGAATAAAGGGCTTTTAAGAAAGATATAGCTGGAAAACTTGACACAACTGCCCTTTATAAAAATGTGTTTTAATGTTAAATAAGCAGACAAAGAAAACTGAGAGTGAATAGGAAATTGGATAGAATTGGGAACAATAGTAGCATTTTCTTGGCAATTGAAGACTACTCTGCTTTGAGAAAATGTCTCAAAGGAGAAAAAGGAGGTCTTAAAAAAGGACTAGATGAAATATTGACACATAAAATCTCTTTGACATTTTCTGTCAGAGTCAATCTTGGCAGGACAGTACCTTATACACGTAGAATAAAGGTAGATGTCATATGAGCAAACAGCAAACCTAAGTCCATATCTTTAAGTTACTCACACATTTCCAAAGTGTTATTAAGAGTAGAACACAAAAATTTAAGGAGAGAGAGAAGAGGGAGAGGTGAAGGCCTGGTGACAGAGTACTAGAAGAGAATGCTGAGAGTCTGGCCACAAGGATGTTTAGGCTTATATAATATCACTAGCATTAATAAGATTAATATGTAAATAATTAAAAGAAATGGATTATTTCCAATGGAGGAAAAAAATATTCTACCTATTACTGAATATCATGTCTATTTCCTCATTTGGCTCTTAGAATTTTAAGCTGAATAAACCAGCAAGTAATACGGTTCATGCTATTGCTTATTCTGAATATTAATGTTACTAATTTAAGCTTTTTTATATTTGAGCAATAAAGTATTTTAATGAAATGTTATATTTTTTAAAATTTAACTTTTGTGTCAAATATTAATTGATATTGCATTAAAATATTTTTACAGAGCAAGTGATTTTATGGAGTAATAGATTTTGTAGAGTAAGATATTTTACAGGATGAGGTTAATTGTACTCAATTGATAGCAGTCTGAGCATGATTTTTGTTGATAAATTATACCCCCATGAATTACATATTCAAGTCTCAGAGTCCCTTAAATTGTGAGCATGCTCTTTTTCTTTTTCCCTCAACTCTAAAATATTGTTACCGATCTTAAAAAAAATTGCCTTCATATTCTTTTCACATTTGGAATTAGAAACCTAATGCTTAGATAAATATCTTGTGTGTGTGTGTGTGTGTGTGTGTGTGTGTGTGTGTTGTGAGCTAATATAGTTTGTATTTCTTCTTTTGTTTGGACTTTGTATAAGATGTAGCTTATTCTGAAGCTGTTCAAGATTACATAAACACAGATTTTAAAAAATGCTTTTAAGAGGTAAATATGTTAAAATTAGTTCACACTGTATCCCCATACTAAAACCACACAGCATGACAGACAAGACATTATTAGTACATACTTATACAAACATGCTCATGCCCAGAAACAGGTTAAATTTATCTGGGGAGAAGAAATGGAATGAAAACAAAGTAGCCGCGTGAAGAGGCAAGTCTATAGGGCTTCGCTCCTGGAAATGACTCTTGGAAATGTCATCTCTAAGTTCCACTCCCAGGGGAAGCAGTTCTAACAGTGCCCCACCCACTGTCAGGGAGCAGAGCACCTGTTTGCAAATGGAAAGTGGAAACCGCTTTGACTCTGACTAGGATCTGTTGCCTGTAGTGAGCAATATCCCAGGAGTGTCAGGAAAGGGCCGTGACAACCCCTCAACCAGAGCCTGGGGCAAGCTACACACTGACTCTGAAAATGTATTGGTTATATTTTCTTAGCACAATACAGAACCAGATATATAAGAACTGGTTCTCACCTGCGAAACCTGGGGGGTCCTAGAAAAGCAAGCACAGACCAAACAAAGATGGAGAAATGAGCATGAAGAGAAAACAATCAGCTGGCCAAGAAATTTCTTCCAAAAAAATATGGTTGCAGTAAGAAACACTAATTTCATGGAACCATCCCAACAAGAGATCACTCTTGAGATAACATAAATAAAAGAATATGCTAAAAGGGAATTAAAATAAGACTGAATAAAGTTCTCAAAAATATAGCTAGCATTCCAAAATAAACAGAAGGCTATGAAACAGAATCAGTTGGATATGTATCAATAACTGTTAGATACAGAGAACCAGCACATTATTGATCTTGGAACAAAATATATATAGTCACCCAAGAGCATTACCCCTCACTTGAAAAAGGAGTCATTAGCTCCTTCAAGGTTCAATGGATGATGGTGATTGCATTGTGTTAGGAGCCTGAGATTTTACAAGGTTATTTATCCACTAAACAACTCGGTATTTGAATGTCCCTCAATAAAGCCCTGAATCTTCCTGGCAGAAAAAGCAAAGCATTAAGATTATGTGTCCAAGCTTACTGAGTTAAATGACCTTTCTTCTGACCTAGACTAATAGCCCTTAACCTATCAATGCTTTTAAGGGCTTTCATTGTTATAAGCTGCCTTGTGAAGCCCAAAGCTGAGAGGAAAAACAGTAGCCTATTTCTCAAGCATTCATTTCAAAGTCAAGTAAATTTTCCATGTACCTATGTGTCTAATAACTAAGACCTCAATACCCATGTGCTTGAAATAGACATGAATTTTAATCTAAGACATGATCTGCCTAAGTGTGACCACTTAAAGTTACCAGCAGAATTTGCCATATTTACTGCACCAGTGCTCCTCCATCTAGGCAGCATTTCTAGGGAAAAAAGTTATCCGTCAGATGACTGTCGAAATGTTATTTTTATATCAGAGTATATTTATTGTAGTAGCTTAAATGGTTATAGAACATTTGTTAAATTATTTTATGCACACATTACTTAATGCTAAATCAGAAGAAAAACGTAGGTGCAGCCCATTTAGGCCCTCAGGGTCTGGACTGTGTGGTGAGAGTTGAAAATGTTCAGTGAGCCAAGAAGCTGTCAGCACCAGGATTGCTGGTGCCAAGAGAGGCCTGAGCAGACTGCTCCCTGCTGGCACCCTTCTTTCCCTGACAGGGATACTGACGGTGAGAAGGACACCACTGCTGCTGCTCTGGTTCTTGTCAGAACAAGAAATCACAAGTAGATCTACAAATAGCCATTTTGTTATCTTCTAGGAACCAAATACAAAGCATTCCCAGTTTGTGTAAGATAGAGGGAGATCAGAGGCAGGCCGAAGGCTACAGCTATGAATGGCAGATTAAATGCTTTCTTTCTACAGCTATATTTATGTCTAATAATAATTATGGTTAATGAGAAGTTGAGAACAGATTCACCCTTCTATCTAATTCCCCAAATTATATTTTCAATTCTACCACTAAGTTTTTTCCAGAGCTACCCGAAGAAAATATAAAGTCCGATAACTTTGGAATTTATATAAGTATTCAGTTTTTACAGTAAATTAAAAACAAATAAACAAACATGTAAGAATTAGTAAGGCGAGAACCAAATCGGCACAATCTGTTTTGTTAACATGCATAATATTCTGTCAAGGCAGGTAGTTCAGCAACAAGAACATCATAAATAATTAATCAGTAATCAATCAATTACAACATTATCACCAATTATAACTGACATTCTTAATCTTTATATATTTTTTATGGCACTGCATGGATATATTTTGCAATTTGGCTTTCTTATGAAGTTTGTAGTTTAGATAATATTTGCTACTGTTTGCTTGCATGTTCATAACAACATATTTTAGAAGGCAAACACATCATGACATTAAATAAGGTTCTGAAAATGTATTTTTTTTAAACATCAAAGCAATTTTAATGCTATTGCAATACCTGTGAGACCCCCTAACATGACCCAGGCAGATTTTTTTTTAAATCTGGGAAAAATGACAAGTCTACATGCTGTGAAAGTATAAATTCATGCACATACCAGTCCTCTGGGTTACTGAGGGTACTATTTGGCATATTGAAGGGAATAATTGGCAATGTGGCACACCCACAGTTCAGCACACCCTCCACCATTTGAAAATGTGTTTTTTTTTTTGCATTTTTTTTAAACTTTAAGAAATATTAAAGCTGTTGAATTTTATTAAAAAAGGATTTTCTGGATAAAATATTTTTAATCCTTACCCTTCTGATGGGTTTAATCATATATTAATAATAATTTCCTAAAAACTTACTGTGTTCTGGAGGCATTTTGAAGAACATAAAGCAAATATCCCCATTACCAGGAATTTTACAATCCAGCTTGATCAACAGATTTTTCATGGAAACACTTTGGGTGTCAATGATTTTATTATTTAACTCTTGGAATTCATGATTTTTGACACCCTCACCCTTACCTACCTACATATTTTCTTTTCTAGTGACTACCCATCCATGGGTCGACTCAATTTCTCTCTGACATAAGGAATCAAAATAAAATTGTTGATGCTTTCTTCTGAGAACTCTTTTAGGCCTTTCCAAATATCAACTCACTTGGCCCATAGACTACTTCCTCTTGCATTATTTATGTATATTCTTACTTCCTATTTCTGTGCCCCATTAAGTCTTAATGTCCCTATGTTTGTTTAGTTAGCTTGATTTTTAATAATATAGATTTTCACCTTTTCTGGAAATCTAAGTATGTATCTCATGGCATATATATAATTTTTCATTTGAGGCAGCCAAAGGATTCTGAATTAAATGTAAACACTCGGATTCAAGTCCTTGGTTTGCCATTTGCCCATCTGTGTAATTTTGTTTCACCTTTCTCTGAACCTCCTTTTTCCATTTACAAAATGAAGTTACTGTAATTGATGATCAAACTGCTGTCTTGTCCCAACGCCCATGATTCCATAATCCTGACTCTCCAAGTTCTATTGTACCAACTAGGTTTCTTTCTACATTCAACAGGTAATAGTGTCGTTTAAATATTTGAATGAGTTTTTGGCATAATCTTACTCTGAAGAAATTCACAGGGCATAGGGATATGTTTATTCTACAATTTTTAGTACCCACTATTTGTGAGGTGTTGTGGGAGTGTTGACAGAGTTTAAGCTTCTATGGTAAGAATCTTTAGAAAGAGGTGAAGAAACATAGAGAAACTGAAAATTTGGTTAAAATATAAAAGTAGCTAATTCTCTTGAAGTTCAGAGTAAATCTAGGTTACTTCATAAAGAGTGATCGGGGCTGGTGGAAAATCAGAATCTACTTCATAGTATAGGTTTCAAGGAGTAGGAGAATTTTAACAAGAGGAAAATGTGGGGAGATGATGCTTGTAGCACAGTGAAGTATTGACAACATGACACAGTTTGTAAAATGCAGGACATTTTAGAGAGAAAGTTCAGTTTTCCTGGAATGTATACTTTGTGTAGAGTATGTCTTGAATGTTGAGATACGAAGAGAAAACTTTTTTCTTTTTTTGAAAAGGTTTACCATTTAAAAGCTTTTAGTTATTATTATTATTATTTTCAAGGGTACAGGTTGTTAATAGAGAAAGACCAAACATAGAGTGGGTCATAATGTTTATTTGTGTGTTTATTTTTTATTTATTTTTATTTTTTTAGATGGAGTCTCACTCTGTCACCAGGCTGGAGTGCAGTGGCGCAATCTTGGCTCACTGCAACCTCTGCCTCCCGGGTTCAAGCGATTCTCCTGCCTCAGCCTCCTGAATATCTGGGACTACAGGCGCCCACCACCACGCCCAGCTAATTTTTGTATTTTTAGTAGAGATGGGGTTTCACCATGTTGGCCAGGATGGTATCGATTTCTTGACCTCATGATCTGCTCTCCTCGGCCTCCCAAAGTGCTGGGATTACAGGCATGAGCCACTGCCCCCAGCCTATTTGTGTGTTATTAAGTAGCTCAAATTGTTAATTTTTATACAAAATAATGGATGAGATGATTGTCTATGTGCAACATTTTTTGTTAGAGTTTCTGTATGATGTTCCTTCTCTGATGGAACCTTTCTTTCTCTCTCTATCCCTTACCTTACCTGTCTCTTTCCTTTCCCCTTCCCTTTATCTTCCTTTCCTTTTCCCTTCCCCCTCCCCTTCCCTCCCTCCCCTCCCCTCCCCTCCCCTGTCCTCTCCTCTCCTCTCCTCTTCTTTCCTTTCTTTTCCTTTCCTGTTGATATTGATATAAATTATTTCACTGAATTCATCTTGTGAGGAATCCCCATATTGCCTCTTTAGGGATTTAATAATGTATCACCTTCACATCATTACATAAATTAACCACACACTCACTCTCTCAGGGTTACCTTTGCAATTGTAAATGGTATAATTGCATTAGTGGCTTTCACAAGCCATTAGTCAGGGACATTTTAATTGAATGTAAAGTGATAATTTCCCTTCATAAGCAAATTTACTGTGTGGGTCTTAAGAGACTGACAGATAGGAGTGTAGGTTTTGCTTACTTTGTTGGATTTTGGTAGTACTGAAGTCTTAAGCGATTGCTCAGATCTTCAGAGGAGTTAGAAAGAGCAGAGAAAGATAGTACATGTTGTAGTACAGTTTTTGTTTTTTTGTTTTTAAACACACACCTAAACAACATTGTTAGAAAAGGACATGCTTCCCCTCTTAACACAAGCCTCATGCTGCTGAAAGGTGACAAATTGACAAGTTCAGGGAACACAGTGTCCCATCCAAAGACTGGGTACCAGAATGACAGTGACACGGCTAAATCCTCCCATCACACTTCCACCAGCTCATCCCAGGCAAGATCAGAAGGGAACTGGCAGCCTCTGAAATGCCTGCTCAGGATTCACACTCTGTGACCTGTTTGGCTCCTGGAGTCTTAGCAGAGACCACCAGCAGGGGAGCTAATTACTGCCAGTCTGTAATGTGGACCTCCGTCCCCCCAGGATTAACTGAATGGAGGTCACTTCTTTTATAGGTATCCCATGTCCAGCTGTGAAGAGCTATTACCCAGTGAGAACTTGTTCCCAGTAATGATCAGATGGGGCTTTGCATTGGAGACCTAGAAATAAAGGCCCCATAATGAATCCCTGGAGTCATCCATGTCCTCACTAGTCTTGCTACAGTTCTAAAATGAGATTAAAAAAAAAATCCCTGCACTTTTATGCACTTTTATTCCTCCCTCTACTAGCTGTATATTTTTGCTCTCTGTCTGGTCTTCATTTCTCTCTGCATAAGCAGTTTTAAGCTTTATTTAAGTGTTGCTTTTCCAAGTGTTCATGACTTTGTGCGGGGCTCACCACACATCACTCATGCCTTATTTTACAGGGTGAGTGGGTAATTAGCATCTTTCACAATTAGCCAGGATTTGCTCTGCTAATTTCATTCCCTGATGAAGGTGCTAACTTGGCGTGAAACTGTAATATGTTGGGTGATTTATTAAGTCGCCACCGATGGGTAGAAATCACATGCCTGCCTTTACTGTTGAGAAAGTTAACAGCATCCATTTGTAAGAGATGGTATTTGAAAAGTGATGTTGGTGTGATTGAATGTGTGAATGCATAATGAAGTCAACCCAGATAGCCCCTTTCTGATTAAATTGTATTAAAATTATGTGGCAGTTCCTTGAAACAAGACTCTCAAGAAAGAAATATGTGATCATCTTTAAAAGTAGCTGTCAGTCACAGTGTAATTCACTGGGGGACTCTAGAGGAAAATGTCATACCTGTTTTTTAAGCAACACATAGAAGATGCCATAGAGATATGAAGGTTCTTTGCCTAAACAAGTTGTATATATAACTTTCAACAACACAGGGGACAAACTTCTTTTAAAAATCTCCAAATTAATCAATTTGGCACATTCACTACTACATTTACTATCATGTTTTCCTCATCTTATTTCCACACTATTTTTTTTTAATATTCAGTATGAAATTCATAATTGAGAAAAATTGATTATACTGAAACCCAGGCTTCTGACAGCACTAATACCTGTTGCTTTTTTTCATTTATCCTGTGTTTACAAAGGAATATTTATTAGAAAAGAAAGGATGAAAGGAAGGAAGAAAGGAAGGAAGGAGAGAGAGAGAAAGAGAGGAAAAAAGAAAGAAAGAAAGAAGGAAAGAAAGAAAGGAGAAAAGAAAGAAAGAGAGAGAGAAAGAAAGCAAAGCAAAGCAAAGCTCCTGTACACAGGAGAAATCTGAAGGATCCAATAAGAGAGTAAACTGACACTACGTGCTTCTTGATGAGAAGCAATGTGTGATCTTGTGATACATCATTTTTGGTGGAAATTGTTATAAAGTATATTATTGAAACGATTGGTAAAATCTGAATATGAATTTCATATTGGATAACTATTGCATCACTTTTAAATTTCTTTAATTTTATACGTGTACTATGACTATGTAACATGTCTGTTCTACGGAGATATATGCTGAAATATTTACAGGTGAAGGGTCAGAAGGTCTGCAACGCACTCTCAAAAGGTTTAGTCAAAAACTAAATACATACCTACATAACATATGTGTATATTTTGTAGGTATATATTGTACCTTTATTAAGAGAAAGTGAAAGGAAGAGCATATATAGCAGAGTTAACAATTAGTGAACACAAGAGGGGTATTTAGAAATTCTTGTATTTTTTTTTGAAATAAAAGGAAAAAGGAAATATGTGATGTCACATCAGAAAACACTACAGATAATTATTCATTCTGAATGCCATATTTGTTATTTGTTTCCATTTTTTTAAACATTCAAAGCTCAAATACACTTTATTATTATTATTATTATTATTATTATTATTATTATTATTATTATTATAGATGTAGTCTCACTCTGTCACCCAGGCTGGGGTGCAATGGCACGATCTCAACTCATTGCAACCTCTGCCTCCTGGGCTCAAGAGATTCTTGTGTCTCAGCCTCCTGAGGAGCTGGAATCACAGGCGTGTGCCACCACACCTAGCTAATTTTTTTTTTTTTTTTTTTTTTTGGTAGAGACGGGGTTTCAACATGTTGGCAAGGCTGGTTTCGAACTCCTGATCTCAGGAGATCCCTCTGCCTCTGCCTCCCAAAATGCTGGGATTACAGGTGTGAGCCACCTTACCTGGCCTCAAATAGGCTTAATTTTTAATAACGAACAATCATATCCTAAACAATTATCTAACTCAGTATTTTTGTATACTAAAACTCTTAGGCCTTTTGGCTTATATACATATCACAGACCATTTAAAATTTGCAAAGATATTGGAAACAATAAAAAAAAAAACTGGAGGAAGATATTTTGTAAACTATGACATAACTTTTTTTTGAGAGAATAACAAGAGATAAAAGTTATGGATGGTGAAATTATGTTTAGAGTGTTATATCCTCCTCAAGTTAATAACATTAAAATTAAATTGTAAAGTAGCAGTTTAAATATATTATTGATAAATATAAAATTAAATAATGGAATAAATAGCAAAGACTAAATAATGGAATTGGGAAGTGAAGAATGGTGAAATAAGGTTGCTATTTTTCATTAAAAATCTAAAGTACTCTTTGATCTTTTAGAACCAGTATATATATCACTTGGACAATAATCAAGATAAAAACTAAGTCCAATAATCACAAAAATTTAAAGACAAAGAAATATTAAAAGCAACTGAGGATTTACTATGTACAGAGTCTAGTATAAGCAGATTTGCGTGCATAGTATTGTTAAAAACTCAAAACAATCTATGAGTATTTATTATCTTTTTGTATTCTTCACATAGTACTTATGAGAAAAGAGAATCATGAGGGTTCAAAAACTTACCAAGATCACACAATAGGACTGAAATAAGATACAAAATCGTGTTTGTTAAATTTCCAAACCAGTTCTTTTAACAAGTACAAAATGCTACTTAACCCACCTCATTTGTTTGACATATATTTACTTGATATACATTTATATATACATATATACATATGTCAAGTACATATATATGCATATATATGTATACATATATATACATATATATGTATACATATATACATATATACATACATCAAGTACATATATTTACTTGACATATATTTATTCATTTATTTGGCATATATTTACTTAACCATTTACTATGTTCTAGGCATGGAATTAAGCACAGGAGACACACACACACACACACATATGTCATATATACATAAAAGAGTACTTTGATACACATATATATCAAAGAGTACTTTAGAAATATACACATATATACATATGTGTGTGTGTGTAGATATGTGTGTGTGTGTGTGTGTGTGCATGCTCAATCTCAATTAATGGGAGAGCCAAATGAATTATTGCATTGTTCTTATAACTATGATATGTACTAAAAATGAAAGAATCACATCTCCAAACCTCGATATCTTTTCTGGTTGAACCCTTTGCCTCCTAGCACAGACAATTCCCTGAAAAGAGGTGTGACATACCATAGGACTCTCTCTTCTTGAAGCACATGAATGTTTTACCAGAGACGTGGGAACATGATTGCATTGTGACAGAACATGTGAGATGGGAGTTAATGAATCAATTCATTCCTCTTTTATTTGAAGCACAGTCTTGAGTCACAGTTCGTATGACTGCTTATGGTTGGTCCTATGAGATGGAGAACTATATCTCTCAAGTATCTACCATAAGGAGTTTAGAAATAATACATTTTTAGTAATGTGGAGAGGAAGAAAAGTCAGTAAAGAGGTCAACAAAGTCACATTCATTGTCAGGAAGAGACCCAGGAGACAGCATCAAGAAAGGAAGTAAATGAAAGTTAAAGAAGTGGATAATTCATCTGGCTAAAAATTTAAAAATGCTGTATTATTTTCAGAAAGACAGTTATGATGAGTATTAGATGAAGACACAGAATAAAGGGACAGTTTTTAGAAAACTGTAATAACTTAAATGGTTTCATAGGATGAGGGCAAAATTTCAAAGGAGAGAGAAGAGAAATAATTGTTGAAGAGTCAGAAGAGAATATGGGCTTTGCTAAAGGTGGTAGGTTAGGCTTAGGGAGAAGTCTCACTGTCTGAAACAGACAAGAAAGGCAGTATCAAGAGGGCAAAGATAGAATGCAGCAGCCCTGAAGTATAGTTAGAGTAGCTCATGGTTAGTAGACTTTTATATTTTCTTGCAAAGTCGTGGAAGAACAGTGGTGGGAGTAGGAGGGCTTTGAGATTCTGAGAAGTATAGTGAAGTTATGGGGGTCCCGTTTTGGGTAGTGAGAAGAGAAGTTGAACAGAGAACATTTGAATAATGGCTGTGAGGTGATCAGGGTCCAAGCATCTTCTGCAGCAGCATGCAGCAACAAGGTGTAGAAGACAGGAAGTTGAATCAACTCAAGGTTACAGATTTTCAGAGTTGGCTGGACAAGGGTATTGAAAATACTGGTAAGAAAGTAGTTGAAATTTATAACCAGTGGTTACAGGGCTGCGCTGAAAATGAATTGTGTATTTGTGCTATATCTTCTCCTTGACAGAAGAGGCAATCTATGTGTGTTATAAATGCAGATATAATCAACATCGTTTGACATGATGCCTAAAAGTTAGATGTAATCATGGAATACAGATGATACTATGAAAGTCAAAACTAAACCAAACAAGTATTGGCCATTGCCCCTTTCCTAAAATATGAACCACTTTCAAAACAAGATATAATACGAATCATACAAAATTTTCTTTACTATTTAAAAATATATTTTTAGATAATTTTACATATGTAAATGTGTGAAATTTTTTGCAGTTTTTTGATTATGGTGAGAGAAAATGTGTGCATGTGTGTGCATATGCTTGTGTGCGTACACATCCATGTTCAGACACCATAATTATGATCTGAAGATCTGTTATAACCTATGCATGGGTCATAGGTTCTAGCCTGCTGGATTGGGGAATGATGAGTGTTGCTGCTGTGAGCCTTTCCTGTGACACAAGACGGAGCTCTGGTTACATCTCTGCTAGACCTACTGTAACAGAAGCAAAAGCAGTTTCTCATTCACAATGGTTCACAGCTGGAATCTTGTTTCTAGTGTCAGCCTGCTCCTCTGGACTTGAATTTCTTGAGATTGGACTAGAAGGCCGTCTGTTCTGTTTTATAGTCTGTTTAATCAGTTGCTGTTTTGAACATAACAATCTTCTGTTATTGGAAAGAATGATTTGTCCTTTGGTAATTTGTTTTGATTTCGATTTTCTTTCAATTTAAAAATAAAAATAAAAAAGAAGTATTATAAATAATTTGTATTATGTGTATGACAGAAAAAATTGTTCATTTTAATCTTTTTAAATAACAAAAATAATTTCATTGGAATATCTTTATCTAAAATTCATGTTATTAAGAAACAGGAGAAAATTACAGGGTTGAAATGTATCAGTTTTTTAAAATATGAAGATTATAAAAACCTGTTGTTGCCTGTTTTTCTAACCAATAGCTTCCTTTTAGTAAAACAACTTAGGTGTTAAGAGATTATATTTTAAGAGCAATAGTAAAAATAACATTCACAACTTAGTCACAAAATAAATCCAAATATTACTTTTTATAATGTATTCCTATATATTTCATCTTCCAAATAATTTCTGCTTTGCATTTAATACATCAAGGGTATTAAAAAAGTGATTTGTTATACACACACACATACATGCACATATATACATATGAAATTTCTATCATAGTCTTAGATATCAGAAAAATTTTTTAATGCACTGTATGACTTGATTTTTTTTTCAGAAACATGAAATCATACCAAAGTGAGAATTTTTGACTTCGTTTCAGCTCTGATTTCTAGTTTCAAGTCTTCTACCAGCTATATGACTTGAAGATACTATTTGATATGTTCAGTTACTTCGTCTGAAGAATTGACATGCCATTTTAACCTGAAATACAGGAGCTCAATATTTTTCTACAAAAAGGACAATTGCTGTCTATAAATTCAACATTCTTTTCTTGGTTATCATATTAATGGTACTTTAGAAATGTGATACATGGCCGGGCACGGTGGCTCACACCTATAATCCCAGCACTTTGGGAAGCCGAGGTGCGAGGTGGGCGGATCACGAGGTCGAGATTGAGGCCATCCTGGCCAACATGCTGAAACCCCGTCTGTACTAAAAATACAAAAATCAGCTGGGTGTGGTGGCATGTGCCTGTAGTACTAGCTACTCGGGAAGCTGAGGCAGGAGAATCGCTTGAACCTAGGAGGTGGAGGTTGCAGTGAGCCGACATTGCGCATTGCGCCACTGTACTCCAGCCTGGCGACAGAGCGAGACTCAAAAAAAAAAAAAAAAAAAAAAAAGTCATACGTTTAATCTTTCCTGAAATTCCCTTCCATAGCTGCTGGCTGTACAAACAGTTCCTCTTTGCAAATGAACTTCATTAGAACCCATAACTGTGCTCCTCTGGTCCACTTTCCCTTTACTTTCCCTTTTACTAACTCCTCTTCTTTCCCTTGCGCTGCTTCTGAGTGTCTCCATGACATTACCCTTGGCACAACTGGATTCACCATGTCGTCTTCTTCTATATCTTCATTACCTCTTAATGGATAACTTTCAAATTTTATTTCCATCTATAGCCTCTTGCCTGATATACATTTCCTGTTACAATACTATTCAAAGACTTTGTAATGTGAAAGTATATAAAATTGAATAATTTATCCAAAGATGATATCATCTTATTCCCTCCAAAGGAGGCTCTTCTTTAGATCCTCAACAGCTCTGTACTTGGTCTCATCACTTATCCAAGCTCTTTCCAGAGCTGAAAAACCTGAAGTTAACTTTTCCTTTTCTTTCCACTTCTTTCTTTAGCTTTACTCTAAATCATGATGTTTTCGTTTCAGGAACAGGGTCTCACTGTGTCACCCAGACTGGAGTGCAGTGATTTGATCATAGCTCACTGTAACCTCAAACTCCTGTGGATTTAAGCAATCCTCCTGCCTCAGTCTGCCAAGTAGCTAGGACTGCAGGCACATGTCACCACACCCAGCTAATTTTTTTTTTCTTTAATTTGTAGAGACATGGCATCATTAAGTTGCCCAGGCTAGTCTTAAACTCTTGGCCTCAGAGGATTCTCCTGCCTTGGCCTCCCAAAGTGTTGGGATTACAGGCATGAGCCACCATGCCTGACAGTAGTTTTATTTACAATACCCCAGGAAGTTGGCAAAGTAGATTTGGAACTTGAGAAGAATGACTAATGATCCACGACTGGGGAAGAGAGCAAATAGAAAGAACTGAGTGCTGAACACATGGCACTCTAAAGCTCACAAACATCCTTGGAAGAGGTCAAGTGGCCATGGGACATAATAAAGAAAAATAAAAAGGAAACATAAATAACTGGGGTCATACAATGTCATGGTAGTTCAGAGAAAAGAAATAGAGCAATATTGGGGATTTTCAGATCAATCTACCAAGATTATATAGGAAGACTGCAGAAGGGTGTAGCTGTAGTAAGGAAGAGAATGAAGGGAATGATTATACTTTGTTTTGTTGATGTAAATTACAATAATACATTTTTTAATGTTATATCATCTTTACATTTCTAGTTTTACTGGATAGGTGTTGCTTTTTTAACTACCTAGTGTCTGAAACTCTTTATAATATTTGACTCTCTTACTCTTTTCTGCAAGTTTTTATAAAATGGTATTTGCTTGACATTTTAATAGAACTTAACTGTATTTTACATTGCCTGAGGTGGAGGTAGGCTGAATAATTTACTGAGATTTGTTGAGGCTTCTTGAAACAAAATAGACAAATATCTTTGCTCAAGGAGCTTACATACTAGGGGAAGGAGCCAGCAAATAAATAATAAATAGAATGAACAATAAATGATATAGTATGCTTGAAGACTGAGGGACATTGGTGGTACTGTGGGTAGCAGATTACCACATTAAATAAGCTCGTCAGTGTAGGCCTGATTGAGAAGCAGAGATTTGAGCAATGACCTGAGGCAATGAGGGTGTTAGCCAAACATCTGTCTGAGTGATGAGATGTCCAGCCAGAATGAACAGCTAGGAAAAAAAATACACCAATACAAACTGTGTTGGAGTGGTTCAAGGATTAGCAAGAAGCCTGCATGGTTGGAAAAGGTAGCAAAGAGGAGAGCAGTGGGAGATTGTGTGGTGGGAGGCTGTATTGTGAAAGGCCTTGTGGGCCATTAAAGAACTAGGCTTTTATTTGTAATGTGATATAGAGCTTCAAAGAAGGTTTTAGACAAAGAACTGGTAAATGAATCTTGTTTAGAAAAAAGTTTTTCCAAGTATAACATGTACACAGAAATATGCATAGTCAAGGGTTTACCTCAATGAACTATCATGAATTGAACATGCCCACATTGGGTCATGTCCCATAACACCAAGGTAAGGAGCTAGATGTTAACAACCAATGTAGGAGTTGACTTATACCCTTTTCCAATTATTACTTGCCTTATATTTTCTGTCAGACAACTGAGTCTTGCTATAACTGAAGCTGTTAGGTAGGATGCATGAGTTCCGTATTTCATGGAATTCCTTAATTACTATATAACCACATCTAGTTCAAGCCAGGAGGAGCAGCAAAACCATTTGTTTTTCTATCCAAAGATTTCCTACACAGTCTTACCCAGTAGTGTTGATTTATGGCAAACTCTAATCCCTACAACTTATATTATTCATATGATACTATTCTATTATTTGGGCAATATTAACTTATTTTCTACACACAGAATTGACTTTCTAAATTATATTTAGGGAAATTCACTCTGTTTCAATTATTCCCAAATGCTGGGCTACTTTTTTATTCTCATGGCATACTTGCATTTCCACCTGTCTAAACTTCATGCTATATCCCTAATAAGCTTGGAAAATTGAGTTACATCATCTGCTTAGTTTCTAGATATTAGACTTGAGACATATAACTCCACAATAATAATATTGTAGAAAACATGGGTGTTATAGCAGACATGACTTGCTGCCATTCTTCTAGGTCCTTTGGATACTTTTTTGAAAATGTGACTTTTTGCTATAATCAGTTTCTCAATTTTTAAAAATCAATAATTCTCCTTTGTGAACTTCTCAGGGGAAAACACTGTATGTGTTATTTTATCTTTATTTTACCTTATTACTTTGAAATTGGTAGACAGCTTATTATTAGTTCACTAGTCTTGAAGGAATTAATGTCTAAAGGAGAAAATTCAGATACATGTATAAATTTGATCTCGGTTGCAGTATCAGATGTAGAAAATTACTTTTTTCTACTTTGGCTTTTAGTAAAGAGGTCTTGGATTTTAGAATGATAAATCTTTATAAGATTAAATATAGAAGCCTTTTAGGAGTGCCTACTATAGGGAAGGTACTTGGCACATAATAAGGTGAATAATAATAAGGTGAATAATAGAGTCCACGGCCTCAAGTAAATTAGAGACTACCTCACTGGGGCAAAACAATTTTAACTTTAAAAATGTGTGAATAAAATCTCTTAGTGATTATTTTGAGAAGCCTTTGATTATTTGGAGGACTGAGTAGTTCAATTACCAAAAAATAAAACCTACTTATTTTTACATGCATACACAATACCCCTGCTTACAATAATACATGTAAATCCCCAGACATTCATAAAAACACACATCTGAAAATCTTTAGATTAAAACGCGTATGTCAGGGTTGTTCTGGAATTGTGTTTTGGAGCGGAATTCTTAGAATTATTCATTTTAGAATTGAAAGAACTATTGACGTCACTTGATTTAACTCTTTGTTTCCCACATAGTAAAACAGAGCCAAAGGGTTAAATGACTTGCCACTTGCATATGGTTACCCATATGGTTTGAGAGAGAATTCCTTAAAGCTCTGGTTCTGATTTAATCAAGATACTCCCTACTCTTTCTATTCTGCTTAATTTCCCTCTGTAGCAATGTGGAAAACACACAAAAATTACCTTGGAAGAAACTTAAAGCTTTTGCCATTCTTTCTTTTGCAAATACATGAGATTATACAATTAACATTTGAACTTTTCTACTTTCCTTGTTTTTCCTTCTGTGACTCCTTGCACTAGTTGAGTTTTATTTTTTCTGAGATTATACTTCAATATGATTCAGTTTCAGTGTGACCTTGAAGCTAAGACTAGTTTGCTTCTTCAGAAAGCTAAGCAAATATGACTCTGGGAGGCATGAGAATAATACACAAGGAAAAGGACAAAGATAACTTCTCTAGAGGTTGAGTCTTAAATTATCCTGATATAGAAATTCAAAAACATGTTAAGACTACTTTAAGGTTACTGAAAAATTTATGGTTTTATGTGTACTGGAGTACAATGTAGTGTATAAACACAGTTTAACTCTATTCAAACACAGTTAAGCCTTTGATATAGATTGGGGATGACTCCCCAGAACACACTCATTCCAGTTCTTTACCAGGTTCAGCCCATGGGAGTTAAGTTTCCCTGCAGCCTTCCCTGAAGTAAGTGAGTTGCATATACAAAGCCCATCTGATACACAGTAGCCATCACTTCCTTCTGTATTGAGCAATATTGACCACTATCAAAAATTCCAGCAAGCCAGAAAGGAAGAGATAGAGTAGAAAGTGATAAAGGAAGAAAGCTAAAATTGGATAGAAGAAAGATACCTGAGTAACATGACCTGGGTTAACAAATCATTAGCATTAAATAAATCACATCAGTGGAGAGGAAAAACACTTTGAACCTCTTAGAGTGGTTTAATTTCCAGGTAGTCGTAGGTGGCAAGAACCTGAGTTAAGCTTTACAGAACATCCAGAATAATAGGACAATATGAAACATGCAAAGTTCCCAAATATGCCAGACTGCGACACTGCAATACTTGCATATATATATATATATATATATATATATATATATATATATATGCATATATTTAATTTCAAGAATATCATTCACAGAATATGGATGAGCAGAATTTATGTCTGAAACAGATGTTTTAAGAAAAGATGCTATTAGTTTGCTTTAACTCTGTGCTTTGTAGTGTATAGAAGCAAAATGAGAAAATGTTAGTTTTGTTAATCTGGTGAAATTAAGATAGTTGTCCCTAGAAAGAGACATGCTTTTGATTGTGATAATTAGGTTAGACTGCATGAGTGAACAAAAATAATTCTAAACAAGAGGGATGTTTTGTTACTAGTCAAATACCACCTGGAATCTTGCATTTGGCTCTAGGAAAGAAAATGAAACACTCAAAATCCTGGAGAAATTTCTATATGGCAGTAATGAGAATGTAAAACCATATCATGTGGGAAAGAAAATGGGAATGTTTAGCAAAAGGAACATAAAATATAATGAGAGAATAGAGAGATGTCTTCAGAAATTTGAAGGTTGGATGTGGGAAATGGAATTAAACTAGTTAAATATAACCTCAAAGTGTAGAACCAGGATATGAAAGTAACAGGGAAAGTGATTGATGCTGAACATGAAGAAGATGATCTACAAATCAGCTATGTAAAACTGGAATTAGTTGCTCTGGGAAGTTGTAAATTTACTTTTACTGTGGTTATTCAAGAGCGAGTTGGATAACTACTTGGTGGGAATATGTTAGAAAGAATTCAAGCATCAAATGGGGATAAGGACTAAAAAAGAAGTACAATCTCTTTTCATCTTAAATGCTATTTCAAAAATTCATGAGCATGAGAGCTGGACCATTAACTCCCTACAAAGAATTGTCTGTTCCTGATTAGTCTATTTATATGCCACAGTCCAAAGAACATAAAAGATGCATTTTGTACAGCCATTGAACTATGCATAGAGGAACACCTGAATCTTTCAAATAAATTATGTGGTTGCTTTTAGAGTCATTAATTATGAACAAACTTAAATATTGTTTGGCTCTTCTTTCTAAACTTGTGTGTGTGTGTGTGTGTGTGTTTGAAACAGCTGATCTACAATGATTTCTTGAGTGCTTAATCAACATCGCATTTTACTGTGTATTATGTGTTTTCAAAGGTTTATAGACATAGTTTCTTAACCCAGTGGGTTTATGGTACCCTTTAGCCCTTTTTTTCTTGTCATTTCTCTTTCCTCTCTATATTGCTTTACTCCAAACATCTAGGCACAGATTTCAGTACAAGTTTTGCCACTTATTAGTTGGAGGATCTTGGTCAAATTACTAATCTCATCAAGATTTACTTTCCACATTTGAAAGTTAATAATAGAAACAACTGCATAGTGAGGACTAAGTGAGATTATGAACATAGTTATTGGCATATAGTAAGTGTTCATCCAATATTATTTATTTTATTAGTTCTTGAACTCACTCTCATTTCTACACTTATAGTCTCTGATTAAATCCTTCTTACTGAAGGTTCATTGAAACCCCTGACAAATCACTACTCTCTACCACATTGCCATTATCCTTCTTATTTTGCAGTTGTCCTACTTTTATTGAGAAAAGATGGGCTTTCCACTTCAGTTTGAACCTCTACATCCTTGCCCTCACTGTCACTTCTTACTCTTACAGAGGGAGATGGAAGAATCTGTTCCATAATGTTGTAGAGTTTTAGGTCTGGTAAACACTTGGGTCTGGTAAAGACTTTTTCCAGGCAACCTACACGTTTTGAGATAAGGAGCCTGGGATACAGAGACAGGGTTTGACCTCTTTACTATGATATAACAATTACTTCATAGGAGCAAGATAATAGCATAATAGAGTGCTCTTTCTGCTATATAGCATCACATACCTCTAGCTCAAACAGTCACCCGTGAGATAGAGAGTATATACAGAAAAATGAAAAGAGCCAGAATTTGGCCTGTAGTCCTCAGTGTATAGGACAATGGCTTGGGTTAAAAAAAATCAAGGAAGAAGCTAATATATTTTGGGTGCCTCTTACATTCCAAACACTGAGAGAATTTCTTTATATACATATACCAGGCTATTTAATCTTCAATAACAAAATAAAAATGTATAAAAACTATTATCCTTATTTTTCCAGTTGAGGAAATTGAGACTCAAAGAGATTTTATTATTTTGTAAAAGTTAAATATGCAGCTAATAAATAGTAGTGGTACAATTTTAATTCATGTTTCTATGACTGTGAATCTCCACTGTTTTATTGTTTTTATGTTGATACTCACCTTTTCCAATCTTGGCCACTGTATAATTCTAGTTTTCTCAAGCATCTAAGACCACTTCTCCTAGAAATGTTCAAAATGTTTAAAGTCTCATTGCTACTGGGAGAAGAGCTGGTTATAGAAATTGCCTATATAGACTACTGCTTGTAGTCATTCCTGAATGTTGGGATGTCTAATTTCAACAACTCATCACCAATATGCTTATTCCTGAGATTATTTCACAAGAAATTGGATCTTACTTGGAGAGATGGTGGTAAAATCTCAAAATCCCAAGAATATAGAGAAGCAATCAAAATCAGAGTGTGAGAGAGTGAAGGAACTCTTTCTATAGATATCAATAATTGTTCGGATATCAGACTTTTCATTAGAAAGTTCGAAAAATAAGAGACACTGGTGCAATACCTTCAAGTTATATGTTACTTATGCTTAGTGCAATATTGTTTTGTAATAGAAAAATTTATAAATCATTAACCTGCTCTCAGAGAAAAAAAAATCTGGTTTGTAGCAGTCTTTAATTTCTGTGGTGTAAATACTCCTAACACGGCTAATTTCAAGCTATCAACATGAATTTGCTGACCACAAAGTTGAAAGAGATGTGAACATATGGTTTTCTGTGAGTCAAGTACAAGTTATCTATGCATACGCATATAGGTATACGCATAAAAAGAACACCTGGAAGAATATGCATAAAACTATTTATAGTGGTTTGCTCTAGAGACAAGAGTGGGTTTAAGATATGCCTAATGAAAAAGAACTTGTCCATTTTATTCTGCATATTTTTATATCTTAAAAAACTTTTTTGAAGTATGATATATACATGAAAAAGTACATATATAATAAAAGAATAGTTCTGTTTTCACAAACTGTACACGCCTATATAACTACCCACATCTAGAAATACAGCATTATCATACCCACTCTTACCTCTATCGGTCATTATTCCTCAACCCCCCAGGAACAACTGTTATTCTGATTTCTAAAAGCACACATCAACTTTGCTTGATTTTTGTAATTTACAAAAATGGTACATCATATATGTTATGGTAACTACCTCAACCAAATATTCAATGATAATATTAATTTTAATTAATAATTATTAAATTATTCATTATTGATGATACAATGAACCTTTTTATGTATCATTCATTCCATTGTGTCAGACTTCTTTTATGCAATATTTTTGTGAGATTTGTTATTAAATATATCAATAAATACAACATATATTGTATAGACAATATAAACAGTAAACAATGTTGTTGGGTAGTTGAAGATTTTATTCTCATTGCTGTATAGAATTTCATTATATGCCTATAACTCAATTTATTATTATTCCACTGTTGGTGCTCAAAATATTCCATAAATGCAGACTAACTAGTAGTGAGAGGTGACAGCGTGCTGGCAGCCCTCGCAGACCTCGCTGGCTCTGGGTGCCTCCTCAGCCTCAGCACCCATTCTGGCCTCGCTTGAGGAGCCCTTCAGCCCGCTGCTGCACCATGGGACCCCTTCTCTGGGCTGGCCGAGGACGGAGCCGGCTCCCTGGGCTTGCGGGAAGGTGTGGAGGGAGAGGCACAGGTGGGAACCGGTGCTGCATGCAGCGCTTGCAGGCCAGCTAGAGTTCCAGGTGGGCATGGGCTTGGTGGCCCCGCACTAGCAGGGGCCGGCTGGCCCTGCTGGCCCCGGGCAGTGAGGGGCTTAGCACCCAGGCCAGCAGCTGCGGAGGGTGCGCCCCGTCCCCGCACTCACCGTGAAGGTCTGCAGCTTCACTCCTCAGCGGCGAGACCACGAACCCACCAGGAGGATCCCAACTCCAGACGTGCCGCCTTAAGAGCTGTGACACTCACCGCGATGGTCTGCAGTTTCACTCCTGAGCCAGCGAGACCACGAACTCACCAGAAGGAAGAAACTCCAAACACATCCGAACATCAGAAGGAACAAACTCCGGACACGCTGCCTTTAAGAACTGTAACACTCATCGCCAGGGTCCGCGGCTTCATTCTTGAAGTCAGTGAGACCAAGAACCCACCAATTCCGGACACAGTAGTACTTATTGCAATTAATCTTCTCCCTTTTTCCCCACCACTGCACTAACCTGCATACATCCACATAGATCGTGGGCTTCTCAGAGTCTCTGGAATAATTCTATTTATCTCACATCCTCTGGCAAGAACTGTGTGTTAGCTCTTCAGAGACATTATATAAGAGATTTTAAACCCTGGGTGCAGAGAATTGATAGAATTCAAGGAATGCCAGTACTTGAATGGAAGGAAAATGCAATCTTATCTTAGAAAATATAGATGCCACCTATTTTCTAAGAAATATTAAATATTACTATAGAATAACTAGATGAAGATGCAATTTTGACTTTGGGCAATTGAAGGACTAGTAAACTGTAATTCTTGTGGTTATACATTTTTAGATAAGTTATATACATAGGAGCTTTATATTTAGGCTTCAGTAAGAATTCAGCCATGACACTAGCGAGGAACAGCTTGGCGATTTCAATTGGCCAGTCAGCCTAATGGACTGACTGTTTTTAAGACTTTAATGAAAAGAGAGTTCAGGTAGCTGTGGAAATGTGTTGATTACAGACTAGTGTTCACCTGTGTTACCTAGAGCCTGAATTAGCACTGCTTAAAGCCAACACACAAGAAAGGGTTTAGGTGAGTGTGAGAGCAGGAGAACACAATATTTAAATTAATTCCCTCCAGGAAAGATGACAGCTTCAATTCCTTGAGGGCTCAAGAAAGCCTCTAGCAGGAGATGGCTATGCCTGGTGGCCAGCATTCTTAGCATAAGCAGCAAAGATGTAAATAGAAAGAGTGACAATCTGCCTTGTAAGAAAGATAAGAGAACACTGGTTCCACACATAAATCTGTCACTTCCAAAATCCCCACATATCTCTGTGGAGTCTTGGACGTGGCCATTGAGCTACTACTCTAAAGCACATGAGGTACCTGAGCCAGTGGCATTTAGCAATGGTAATACTAATGTTAATATGCTCACAAATATACCCATAATCTGGTAAAGTTCTAATTATTTTTATTGCATCTTCACCTCACATTTAATGAAAAGTAAGTGGATGAAAGAGGAAATTCCAGAGGAAGTGTTGCAATTCCTGGAATACTAATAAGAATGCATGGGATGGGACGGGATGGGCGTGGTGGCTCATGCCTGTAATCCCAGCACCTTGGGAGACTGAGGCGGGAGAATCATCTGAAGTCAGGTGTTCGAGACCAACCTGGTCAACATGATGAAACCCTGTCTCTACTAAAAATACAAAAATTAGCCAGGCATTGTGGCACATACCTGTAATCCTAGCTACTCAGGAGACTGAGGCAGGAGAATCTCTTGAATCTGGGAGGCAGAGATTGCAGTGAGCCAAGATCGTGTTACTGCACTGCAGCCTGCGCAATAGAGGAAGATTCTGTCTTTAAAAAAAAAAAAAATGCACATGGCATTTGTATCATCAGCATTTTTCTCAATTTTTGTCAGGAGAGGAAATTCCAGTGGCTCTCTGTGGACTTAGCCACAATCAAAGAGTGATAGTGGGTATAAGACGACTGGCAAATATAATTTATTTGTATTTGATCCATACTGGTAAGATTAAGAACCTAGAGCAGAGTCATATAATTTCCTTAAAAGATATTCTGAAGTGATAGTCTAAAAATGTTATATTTTCTGTCAAAAGAGATGAAATGTATCGGCTGAGAAAGAAGTATGTTCTAGAGATATCATTTTTTCCTCTATAACCCTCCTACTCAATCTAAATACGGGAAGGGTGGTATCTCTCAAATATATCCATAGTAGACTTTGCAGAGGTAATTTTTCAAAATTTGATCTAAATATATAGCTTGATATACTTATTAGGAGTATTCCAACCAAATAATCACTATAAAGTGAATATATATAGGTGAATATGTAATGCATCTTTTATTTGGATTACGGTCTTATGATGAATATTGTAGTGGTTCTATTAATTTATTCAATAACTACTTACTAGCCAAATATGGAAGGACAGTGAAATTACTCAAACACACTTTCTATCTTTCTATTTTAAATTTTAATCTTGTGCCAGAGAAAAACTCATAAGGAGACAGCTCAGAAAAAGTGCATGCATGTGTGTGTGTGAAAATGTCTGTCCATGTGGCTAGGGGAGCACATAGAAAGCAGTATATTTCAAAGTTAATATATAAGTATATACATTTACCAAGGTTTTGTATAATAAAATTCCAGTTAATCAGATTACCTTCAGGATCCCATAAATATCTGCTTTTTAACCACTAAGTGTTTTGTTTTAATATTTCTCTTATCAGTGTACTATTTTGGAAGTCTAAATTCAAAATTTTAATTTCAGTGTGTAAAACAGAATGAGGAGTAAGTTTTTATGTTATAACTACAAAGAGTGTAACACAACCATTGCTGCATCCTGAAAATATTTTTAAGTGGTTTGTAAGTATCATGATATATTATGGAAATTATTTAACCCAAAGATAAAAAAGTAGGAAAGGCTTTATAGAGGACAACAGTCATGCGTTTTGAAGAATGAGCAATTTTATAGACCAAAAATAAAGAAAATTATTAAAATATAACTCAGTAAGCAAAGTCTTGGAGTTATGAGTGTCACTAGATGTGGAAAGTTGATAAGAGGATTAGGAAGAATAGGTCATGGTGACACTGGAAGAGTCAGTATTCTATAAGCATGAGGAATCATCAGCATGTTTAAAAATTAGGGTGATTTTACAAATTTTCTTTTCTAAATGTTATTCTGGTGAAGGTGTGAAATTACAATACACAGTAATTTACTGGAGTAAGCAGTGAATAACAGGCTATGACAACAGACTATTACAACTAATCCCTGACAGCTAATCAGGGAGGACAAATGTCATGTATTCAGAAGTGCTAGCCATGTGGCACTGGAGGGAATGAGGAGTCCAGACAATTCACCTCCCCATTAAGAACATGTGGATCTCCGTGGTCCAAATATCATGACAAGGAAATATGATATATCCAGATTTCATCTGGATTTTAAAATCAGAGACCAAGGTTGGCATGAAGGAAAGAAATATTTGTTGGAAAATTCCAGGTCATGAAATTGCAACTCAGCAGTAATTTTAGGAAATAGGTGAGGACTGTTAGTTAATAGTCAAGATAATTTAAAAATAGCAAAAAGGAAGCTTAAGGCTGAAATACAGCCATGGCAGAAATTATGGGACGAAAATAGAATGAGGCTATAGTAAGGGAGCCTCCCATTTAGACTTCCTTTTTTCCCCCTTCAGGATAAATTCCCCATATACTCAGCATGATCCTTCATGACTTTGGCCCACCTAAACTTCCATCTTTAGCTTCTTTCTGTACCACCTTTGCTTTCCTTTCCAACCATACTAAACTTTCTCTGTTATATATAATATGCCTTTGCTCTTTAATGCCTTAGGACTTTTACATATTTACTTGCTCCATTTACTGGAAACATCTCAAAATTACCCCCCACCCCCAACCTTCCCTGCTCCCCTATTACATACACATATTCTACATATCTTTCCTCATTTCTTACATCCTAATTTAAATGCCATTTTCTCAATACAGTTTTCCATGAACACTTTACCTCAAGGAAAGGTTAGAACCTGGATTTATGTGATTTGGGCACTGATCATACTAATATATACATGTTTAATGGTTACAGACTTCTTGAAACCTATAGTCTCTTCTATTCAGCATTGGAGTGCCACTTAGTGCCTAGCACAGACACTGATATGTGGTGATGGATTTGGTTCTTATTGACATTTTCTAAACTTGGGTAGGGACTTGCCTGAAAGGCAGACATTATTCTAAGCATTTTTCATGAATATGGGGCAGGCAGAGGGAACAGTGGGAGCTTGATCAATGCAGTGTCAGCAAGAATGGAAAGAGCATTTTTCAAGAACTATTTAGGAACTGGAATAAATGTACTTACAGAAGAGGATGAGAGAGCATTCCTGTCCTTTAGGTGGAATGTGATGCCTGCAATGCTCATAGGCAATATAGGAGAAGTCAGTTTATAAGAGGTGAGAAGAGAGAAAAGAATTATTCTGGTAGTGTTCAGTTTAAAGAATCTACAGAATTTTCATAAGAGATATCCAATAACCATAGTTGCATCTTGTGTTGAAAAAGAAAATGAAGGTTAGAGCTACAGATTTTGGATTCATTGCATTTGATTTAATTAGTGGTAGTAGATATAATTACATAAGAAAATATCTGGAAAAAGTCAATCAACCATGTACTCCTGGGAACCTTAGATGTGTTTATGATTCTATTATGACACACCAGACCTACACAGTTAATTATGTTTGGAAATAAAATGGGTAGGAAATAAGCAGTAATTTGTTTTGGAAATTATTTATTTATATTTTTATTTGACAAATAATAATTGTACATATTCATAGGGTACATTGTAATGTTTCAATACATATAATGTAGTGATCAGATCAAAGTAATTATCATATTCATCCTCTCAAACGTTTATTATTTCTTTGTGTTGGGAATGTACTTCTAGCATTTGAAACTACATAATACGTTATTGTTAACTATAGTCATCCTACAGTGGTGTAGAACACTAAAGCTTTTTTCTCCTGCCTGTAATGATTTTTATCATTATCGCTGCATTTGCCAAAAGATTTAACCTTGTAGAAGCATTTTAAATTTAAATATTTGTTTATATAAACACAGTTAATGTAGTAATTTATTATTTTGGCTTGCTGTTTTTTCTTCCTTCTCCAAGAAGAAGCAGATAGATTATGACTTGTGAACCACCTTGTACCTTATAGTTAAAGTTGTGTGGCCTTGACCATTGTAACTAAGTTATCCTGGCCTTCTTATACAATCCATAAACTTTTTATTACTATGTCAAATTTTCTAATGCTTCTAGGTCATCTGAGCAAATTATACTAGTACTAGCTTACCTCCTTCCTCAGAGCATAGACAAGAAACAAAGTAGAAACTAAAAGGTTGAATTATCCCAGGATGATTATTTGCCTTAGGAAAACTTCCTTGAGATTTTTCAATCCTATCCATATTTGAAGATTTTACTCATTTTCATCTTTCTACAGATGATTTGATTTCTTACTACCAGGTGACCTCTGCACACATATACACTATGCAGATTTGAAACAGTAAACACTTATAGTATTATTGATATAATTATGATAATTATTATTTTAACATTATTAGCACACTAGACACTGCATATAAATTGTACTTGGATTATTTCATTTGACCTTCATATTAAACATATCAAACATGCAGTAAGTGCTCTTTCTGTTTTATAGATGAGGACACTGAGGTTTGGAGAGCTTGCGATTTTGTTCAAATTCCATAGCTAAGAATATAGTGAAGCTAGGATTCAAACCCGGGCAATCAAATTTTAAAGCATGAAGAATTAATATCTATGAATCTTTTCTCACCTTTTTGACTTATCTACTCCTACAGAAATCTCTTGCCCCAGAGAAACTTCTAGCTTCTTAGTCACTACTTTCTACTACTGTTAGAAACACAATGAAAGTACTGGGTCCTCAATCAATGCCTAAGTCATCAACACATATGCACAGGGGCAGTGCACGTTCACTGGTGGTGTTATTTTGTTCATTGAAATACTGAGTATGTACATGAGCTAGGATCAGAAAAATGCTAAACTTTTTCTTCTGCCTTTCACAGTAAGCTTGTTCACTTCCAGGTGTGTTTGCAGTATGTAGGTATAAAAAAGATATGCCAGGAGACAGGACAGTAATATTCATGCTTTGATTATGATGAAGGTGAACCCCAAAATTGGGGCTTACCCCAGAGGGGTTCTTGACTTTGCTCAGAAAAAAAATTTAAGAACGAGCAGACAGTGAAAGAAAACAAGTTTATTAGAACAACAGTGTACAGCAAAATAGCTGCTCCATAGACAGAGCAGGGCTTTCCCACAGGCAGAGTGGCACAGAGTAACACTTGTGGATTGCTGGCTAGCTATATTTATACCTATTCTTAATTATTTGCTAAGTAAGTGGTGGGTTATTCATGAACTTCCTGGAAAAGAGGTGAGGCATTCCTGGAACCATAAAAGTAACTTCCAGATTGTTGCCATGGCAACATTTGTAAACTGTCATGGC
Source organism: Homo sapiens (assembly GCF_000001405.40). Classification (NCBI taxonomy): domain Eukaryota; kingdom Metazoa; phylum Chordata; class Mammalia; order Primates; family Hominidae; genus Homo; species Homo sapiens. The sequence goes on from NC_000006.12 coordinate 49,940,243, forward strand.
GCTGATGGTAGTATCTTAGAGCGTGCAAATGAAAACAAACAGTGAGAGTAATTAGAGGACACTTTTGTTGCCATTTTGGTTCTAGCTTGTTTTGGCCAGTTTCTTCGCTGCATCCTATTTTGATCAGCCAGGTTGTAACTGGTCTGAAAAGCAAGTCCTGTTAATCTCCTATCTCAATTAGACACCAAAGTCTGTTTATATCCTTGCTAAGGAAGCAACTGTATTCTTTGCAGATAGAAATAGGCTGCACAAGACAGTTGAATCATTGTTAGTAACTTTGGGCCTGGATATTGATCTGGTTTTTGGGTTTGGTGTAAATGTTACATTTATATTTTATTCCATTCTTCTTCCCTCTCACAGTATGTCCATCTCCCTCATTTATTCATTTATTTATTCCATAATTTTTTTTTTTTTTTTTGTGATGGAGTCTTGCTCTGTCGCCCAGGCTGGAGTACAGTGGCGTGATCCCAGCTCACTGCAAGCTCCGCCTCCCGGGTTCAGGCCGTTCTCCTGCCTCAGCCTCCCGAGTAGCTGAGACTACAGGTGCCTGCCACCATGCCCGGCTAATTTTTTTGTATTTTTTTAGTAGAGACGGGGTTTCTCCGTGTTAGCCAAGATGGTCTCTATCTCCTGACCTCGTGATCCACCTGCCTTGACCTCCCAAAGTGCTGGGATTACAGGCATGAGCCACCGTGCCCGGCCTATTCCATAAATTTTTACTGACAAATTATTTCAGAAGAGACACTGGATATTGAGAATACCATAATAAATAAGAAGTTGAGTTTTCACCTTTATGAATCTTATAGCCTAATGTGTCACACAAATATAAAATACTTAAATAGACAACTACAGTTCTGAGCTATAGTGATGTTATAGAATAATTAGGTGGATCACTTGGAGTGGGGAGAAAGATACATAATATTTTCTCATAGGTGATGGTTTCTGAGATATGACTTGAAAGACAAGTTAGCCAGTTGAGGAAAGATGAAGGATGCTCTAGGAAAAGAGAATTGCATGTGTAAAAGATTGGAGGGAAGTGAAAAGTTGTAGCTATAAAACAAATTGGCTATAACTGAACTATCACATGTAAGGTGAGGAGTAGATTTTTAAGACTGGTTAAAAGGCCTGCATTACATCCTGAGGACAATGGAAAACTTGTGAAAGATTTCAGGAAAGATTTTAGAGCTTCTTTTATATCCTATTAATTCTAAAATTGGCCAAGACCTCATAAAAATCAAACACTCGGTGGTTTCACCTTCATCCTTGGAAACTCGAAAGTACTGATAAAGTTAATTAGAAGAATAAGCTCTTTTCTCTTCCATTCTATAAAGGGGGCATCTACTTATTTATACACTTCCAAGTTAAAACTGAAAAGTGGAAACATAACATAATGTGAATTTCTCTTAGAGTTGTACTAGTATCTGTGTTACTTAATATGTAGAGTATAATTTAAGAATAAAACACTTGCTAAAATGTGTCAAATCTGGCCTTCTGATTCTCTTAAATCAGATACTTATCCCTGTACCCTGGATCATTGCAATAGCCTTCCAGCAGCTTCTCCCTATGTCCACATCTACTAAGCATTCTCCATCCCATGTCGTGGCCCCTGACTGATTTATTTGCCTCTATGCTGGTTTTCTTCATTACCCTGTGGACAATAGGAAGCCAATTAAATCCATTTTCTCCACCTTTTGCATTAGATAAGAGGCTTATATATTCACTATTTAATATAAATTATTTTCAGACTTAAGAACAGCTAACATTGAGCTGCTGGAGTTAATTTAATCCCTGAAATTACCAAGAAGGATGACCCAGTTGTATTTGTTCTTCAAGTTCCAGCTCTGAGAGCTGAAGTCCACCTTTCTTCGAAAGTCTTTAATGCTTGCCAAGATTTCCCTCCTACTTCTTTTCTGCTTCTCATGTACCAAATATCTAAGAAGAAAACATCCAGAATAAGATTCTTTATGACTCAAGGTGTTGTCAGATAGAAAATACCCCCCTGGCAGGGGACACCAAAACACCTAGGTGGAAATGAAAGTCAAGCCTCTTTCTTTGTTCTCAGAGCCTATGAATTGAGGCTCTGGTCATATATATTTCCGAACCTTGAGAAAGTCTCCGATTCATCACTGCCCCAGTTCTCAAATGGAGAATTTTGCAAGATGCTCTTAATTGCTATGGTAGTTGCCAGCATTTCAATTTCTCACTTTTATAAAATTGCATGTAACTTTAGGATTATAAAAATTTAAAGCTTATTTTTAAATTTAGAAAATAGAAGCTATCCAGCTATTTTTTTTTCTTTTTAACTTGGCTAGCAGAAAGTTAATATTACATTGTGAGGCTCCATTGCACTTTTACATCTTTAAATGAAAGTTGAAATGTAATTAAATGGAAACTGAGAGACATAAAAAGTGAAGATAATTTGAGTTTATATGCTTACTTTCCATAACTAGTTAAAAATAAGAAATCATTTAATTGGCATTTATGTTAAAGAGGGGCTTAGTTAATTTCTGGCTCCCCCTGTCTCTAAATGTGGCAAATATTTCACGTTTATTTTGGTCTTCTCATCTGCTAAAAACAGTAGCTTTTGATTTATAAGGTTTCTGTTTTCTCAACTTGTGGCTTGTCAGCCTGGTCATTTGATAATTTAATAAATTGGCAAATTGGCAAGGCCAATGTATCTTACCCTATTTCATTTATTTATCTTATGACCATACTGGTGGCCTATTTAATGAGTTTTTTTCTGGGTGATATAAGGACAATTTTATTATTTTTTCTCTTTTATTTTTTCTTTAGAATAATTGACATTGAATGCTGACCAACACAGTACAGCCAAAGACAGCAAAAGGATCCTTGTGACTTTCTGAGAGAGAAGCAACTAAATTCTAATACCTTCTAATTTGAGACTCAGATTTATTGAAACCTGTTAAAGTTTCTACTAGCAACAGACAAAACAAGATACCCAGAAAATAAAATTTCAGTTGAGATAGACAGAAATGGGATCATTTGACTTAAGTAGAAGATCACTACCACTTATCTAACTTTTCTCACAATTGGCATTGATAATATTCTTTAGTAGCTGTCATTGGGTTATGTAGATAATCTATTAATCAGATATCAGTAATAAACATTTCACAGTAAAGTGGCCAGTTTCTCAGTTAAGTGATGGCTTTTTTCAGCCTCATGGTAATGTGCTTCGGTTCCGACTTCAGAACTAGAATAGAGCCAGCTTGGCTGACTACTTGAATAAGACTGATAGTGTTGATAAACTTAGTGAAAATGACTTATTTTATAATACAGATTAAGAAAACAACATTTTATATTCTCATGTGCCCCAATGACTCTTATTGAGAGATATTGAGTTTATGGACATTTTCTAAAACTATCTATGCCAACGGCACCCAATTTGTTTGCTAAGATCCAGCAGGAAGCTGATTGGAAGTGATTGGTGAGTGTAAATGCACAAAAACATTATCTGTAGAGTAAATGAATAAAAACTTGTGATATCTATCTACCTACTTACGTACCTGGCATATCTATATGCACACACGTGTGTATTTGTGTTCACATGTAGATTATTTTCTGGTCATTCTGTAGTTCCTTAAACTTTTTAGATCCTACAACTGCAATGACTCTCCTACAGAAGAACCATGACATTCTGTGTAAAAGCGATCTTTTTTTTTTTTTTCTTGTCTTCAACTTGTATTTTAAGTTCCAGAGTACATGTGCAGGAGGTACAGTTTTATTACACAGGTAAACATGTGCCATGGTGGTTTGCTGCACAAATCAACCCATCACCCAGGTATTAAGCCCAGTATCCATTAGCTATTTTTTCTGATATGGTCCCTCCCTCCACCCTCCAAGAGGCCTCAGTGTGTGTTGTTCCCCCACATGTGTCCATGTGTTCTCATCATTCAGTTCCCACTTATAAGGGAGAACGTGCAGTGTTGGGTTTTCTGTTTCTGTATTAGTTTGCTGAGGATAAACCTTCCATCTCCATTCATGTCACTGCAAAGAACATGATCTCATTCTTTTTTATAGCTGCGTAGTATTCCATGGTGTGTATGTACCACATTTTCTTTATCCAGTCTATCATTGATGGTCATTTGGGTTGATTCCATGTATTTGCTATTGTAAATAGTGCTGCAATGAACATACGTGTGCATGTAACTTTATATAGAATGACATATTCCTTTGCATGTATACCCAGTAATGAGATTGCTGGGTCAATTGGTATTTCTTTTTCTAGATCTTTGAGGAATCAGCACACTGTCTTCCACAATGGCTGAACTCACTTACACGCCCACCAACAGTGTAAAAGTGTTCCTTTTTCTCTGCAATCTCACCAGCATCTGTTGTTTCTTGACTGTAAAAGTGGTCTTTATTCAAAAAGATTTAGGAATTAATGCTGTAGGCTACAGAGTAAGTTTTTGCTTCTGTGGATTATAAACTCAGTTAAAAAATTGGTTTGAAAGCTAATTATACAAGCTTGAGGAGTTACATCCTTTCTATTTTCTTATAAAATTCTCAGTTGCTATAATTAATCTGGAAAGTTTTGTGTGTAAGAGAAAGTGATTAAAGAGAGAAGGAATGAAACTTTGAGCAATCTATTACTTGACTGTCAGATCAATCTAATTAGAAGTTTATCTCAGCAGCTTATTAACCTGTGCTAGTTGTCAAATGTGGACATTTAGGCAATCAAACCATCCCTGGTTGCCTATTTCCCGTTTCTTATGTCTATTCTTTAGTTTCAGATGTGGCCTCCGTTTTCAACTCAGTATTTACTTTACCCTTTTCCTCAAGCTCCCTGTGATGATTTTGAAGTAAGGGAGTGTTCAGACTTGTGTTCAGTGTTAAGACAGAGCTTAAGTTGTCAATCTGTATAATTTGTTGTTCAGACTTGTGTTCATTGTAAGATAGAGCTTAAGTTATCAATCTGTATGATTTATTAAATAGCTGTATGACCTCACAAACTTTCTAAACATCATTTAACAAATCAGGTTAATCTAATAAACATTTACACAGTGTTTGCTCTCAAAACTAGAACTCTGGGAATTTGGTTCCAGGATCTGTGTCTTGAAGTTATCTTATATGTTTCATGGACATTGTATTACCTCACAGACATTCTGTGATCATCAAAAACATTTCTGTATCTCAAAGTGTTTTGAAGCTTTACGTTAGTATTAGCTATAAAGATGATATTACTATCGGTACAGTTCCTAATGATTTTTGTGATTTAATTATTTTTGTACTAATCACACAGAATTCTGCATTTCCTATTCAGTAGATACTAGTTATAAGACATCTCCATTTTTCATCAGACCTCTACAGTTTCCAGTTTCAGTTGCAATACACCTACACCTTACTTTCATCTATGGCCTATGTTTTAAAATTTGTTGTTCAAGAAAACAAATACAAAAAAACATGAAGGACTGAACTGATGCTATGGCTTCCTGCTTGCAGTGAATCAGATCTCTTGATCCATGTCATGATGAAAGTACTATTTGTTCCTTCTCTTTGATCTCTCTAAACTCCTATTAGTTTGGGTACCTTTGATTTGAGGACTCCTGATAATAATTATGTGTGTCATTTAGACTTCCTTGTGTCATTAACTTTCTTCTGCTAATTAGTAGAAAATTGATATTCAAAATGCTGAAATGTTTCCACAGAGCTGCTTTATATACTGAATGTCTCCCACTACTCTCTGACCCTTAGGAGAAAACGTAGCTCCTCAAATGATGCTATATAACCAAGAGGACATCACAGACTGGACAGTGGTTGGTAATTCAGTTTCTTTTATTACTAATCCTTGTACTCACTGTGCTTTACTTTTGAGGGATGCTGATTTTTATTTCAAACTTCTACATATAACAGTTGGCATTTAGTTTTGTGCAGAAACCAATTGGTTTTTCAAAATCATGACACTCATGTCGACATTTGCCTCTCATGATAAAGCAACTATAGGTGTCTTTCACGGCACATTTCACTGTTAAAAGGGGAAAAAGAAAGCACATAAACCATTGAGTCACTATAAGTGTCTTAAGGTCCCACCTTGGGATAAATCAGTTGTCAATGTGAAAATAAGTATAGCCCTTGCATTCTGGGGTAGGGATTTGGGAAGTCATTTGTTTTGTATTTTTCTGGTGATGATTGTTCTGTGATACTTTCTGTTTCATTCTCAGTTTCCTCTCCAACTTCTGGCTTGATCCACTAGTTGTTAAAGCTTAGTTTTCCCTGAGAATTTCTAAATAAAAATTGTTAGATTTCAAGTAGTTCTGGAATGAACACCACATATTTCTATGGCTACTTACCTACTACCCACCTAACATGATTTTTTTAAAAAAACAACTTTATTGAGGTATAGTTGCTATAAAAAGAACTGCACATATTTAATGTGTACAAATGATGAATTTGGGCATATACAAATATCTATGATCCCATCACCTCCCAAAGGCTTTTTTCTCCAATTTCAAAAAAAAAATTAAACATTTAAACATTTTTGGTTTCAGGATTTAAAATGGGAAGATTCATTAATGTTGCTTCAATTGCTATCTTGCTCGAATATTTTTTATAAATCTCTTTTATTAGAAGAGTGAAAAAAACCCTAGCAGATACTGGGATAAGAGAGGTTCTTTGAATATTCACAAAGATTTGAGCCTAGGCAGGAGCCTGGTTTGCTGGGGGGATGAGTGTTGTCATGAATGACAAGCCTTAAGTTCAAAGAGAAAGAGGTAGTATCTCTCAGCATCTCCGTATGTTTCCTTGTTTCAGAGTCTTCTCCTTTATAAAGTTCTCAGGATTGCATCATCATAGCATATACCAGCTGATGAACTCATCTACATCTGGCCATAAGACTTAATGTTTCATCTCTTCACAAAATGTTTAAATTTTTAGAAAGGTCACATAAGGAGGAAGACGCCCAAAGTTAAAGCATTAAATGTAATGGTAAATTATCAAATATCAGTGACAAAGGTATGTGAAAGGTGCTCTTTCTCTAGGTGCTCAACATATAGGATCCAACTGAGATGGAGTCAAAGGTACTGATAACCCAATTCATGTCATCTGCTTTCAGTGAAGTTATGTTAGCATACAGTCTTACTGTTACTTGGAGTAACTAGACATTTTAGGAAAAAATTGAACATATTATTTTGAATTTTTTGCCAAATATTTTAGGCAACGAGATATGCTTTTTCACTGTATAAATTAATGATAGATATCTCTTTATTTGTATTATCTAGAGAGATGCTATTTATTGCCTTTGATGCCAGAGGGAAAAAGCATTATCTTGCCAGCTTAAAAATGCATCCTCAGATTACACTGTCCTACATGATGGGTGTGAAGCATGTATGTTGACTTAATTGGAATTTACAAATAATAGAAGATGACAGCTGTCAAACACTAGTATTAAAAAAAGAATAGCATTATTTAAGTGGGAATTGTAAATTAGCATTTTTCCACTAGTAACAAAAACAACAAACAGCTTCTCTCTAGATAACAGCTATGTATAACATAAAAATTTATTTATGTACAAGAAGGAATCACAAATTTCTCAATTTTTAGATGAATCTATGCACATACATTCATAATGTCTCTTGGGTTTATAATGAAACTGAAAATGTCATGAAAATTTTCACCTTTTTTCCCAAAGCAAGTGACATGAGGCACACATGTAAATCATGATAACATAACTGGAGCTAATTTTATTATCCAAATGTGGTTGCACTAAATAAGTCTTCTTTATTTTAAGATCACCCCCATATGGTTTTAGTAAAAACAAACCCTGATTGTAATTCCATTAGTCTTGAGTTTAGAATGATGTAATAAAATAACAATCCTCAAAATTATCATCTGACATATTTTACTTGAATTATAAAACAATTAAAATGATTTGAGTCTTTTATCCAAAATACTTAGATGTTTGAGTTTACTCACAGCCAGACTTATTGTTAGAGCTAGACTTCCTTGGTCTCATCTGTGCTGCTAAGGAATGAAGTTGGACTTCAAAGAGGAAACTCTTGCAGTTCTAGACCACTCCTAAATCAGAATGCCCTATAGTTATTATTTTTTTGTTTGTTTTATTTTCTTAAGGTGAGTGGAATTATTTTCTTGGGTGTGTGTAAAATGATTGTTTACAGGGTCTTTACATAAATAAGAAAAATACTTTTCCTATCATAAGTACCCTGAAATGTGTTAAAACAGCTCTTTCGATGATCTCCATCAAGATACTTCCTTTGGCTATTGATCTAATCTAATAGTAGTGTGTACAATGAAAGTTTACAAATGAGGGTACACAGTTTAAGTATGTGAAATCCAACATGGTAAATATTACCTCCCCTGTTTCCTGCAATAGTTGTCAAGAAAGAGTTTCTCGATGAGATTTCTAGATGTTACTTGCTTTTTAAGGTGTTTTAATACAATGTAAAAGTAATTATAATACTATTTAAGATGAATCTGATGTGTATTATACTTTATGTTGGGCATTTTGTATATTTAAATATCATTAATCGTCATAATACTACAGATAGACTTAATTACTGTATTTAATTCGCAAATGAGGAAATTGATGCTGAATGAGTGTAAATAACCTGATAGATTTGCATAGCCAATACATGGCAAAAGCCAAATCTGAACCCAGGTATCAATTATTCCAAAGTTTATACTCATTTAATTATCTGGTTAGTATTAATTGCTATGTAATTGGACCTGAGGTAATACAGCCACTGAAGTTCTCAATTCTTAATCAGTTGAAAACACCATTTTGTGTTTTTCTCAAAGTAAACCTTGTGACATAATATAACCAAACCTATCATGAGGTTACTGAAAAACCAACTGTTACTCTACTACACAGTGCCCATCAATGTCTCAAGGATCCAGATGGTTATACTTTAATATTCTATCCAAGTAGTCAGTCTGGACAACCAGCCTGTAGTCATTTAATCAAGGCCTTTAAATTGTCTCATACAATAATATGACTCACCCGGAGCCTTACTGTTTAGTAAGACCACAGTCCTTTATTTGTGATTTACTCTTGGGACCGTAACCAACCACTCTCTTAACAATCTGGTCACTCTTGTGTCTCCAGTTGACATCGACCAAAATGCAACTCTCCAGAAAGATATTTTACCCTCTCAATATTTACATTTTACCTGGTGGCAATGGGGACCAGAAAGAAAAATAAAACAAAGAGAAAGACGTGAATCTTCATGATTGAAGACAGTCAGCCGAATTAGCAGCTCTGCAGTGTTTGAATAAGAGAAAGGTGGAGAGCACATCTTTTTATACTTCTCTCCATGCAGTTGTACGAATTTAGAAACTGGGGTTTATCAAAAGTTAACACTCCTGTTTAGCAGTGCCTGGGGCAAAAATGCAGGACATTACTTTTCTTTTATCTTGGGATATAAAGGGTTATGATATCCATAGTATATAATTATCTTTTTAATAACTGGTTGTCTAGGAAGTGCATGCCACTGAGAATCTCCTATTGAAGGTCTGAAAAGTAGAAGCATGAGAATTTAATCTTTGCTTTTGATTTAGTTTCTCTCTCTCTCTCTCTCTCTCTCTTTTTTTTTTTTTTTTTTTTTTTTTTGAGACGGAGTCTCGTTCTGTCACCCAGGCTGGAGTTCAGTGGCGCGATCGCGACTCACTGCAAGCTCTGCCTCCCGGGTTCACGCCATTCTCCTGCCTCAGCCTCCAGAGTAGGTGGTACTACAGGCACCCGCCACCAGGCCGGCTAATTTTTTGTATTTTTAGTAGAAACGGGGTTTCACCGTGTTAGCCAGGACAGTTTTTCTCTTTTTTAAATAGCTATACATAATGAATAAACTAGTGAATTTAAAAAGCAATATACTCACACCCGTAATTCCAGCACTTTGGGAGGCCGAGGCTGGCGGATAACTAGGTCAGGAGATTAAGACCGTCCCGGCTAACACGGTGAAACCCCGTCTCTACTAAAAAATAGAAAAAAATTATCCGGGCGTGGTGGCGGGCCCCTGTAGTCCCAGCTACTCCCAGAGGCTGAGGCAGGAGAATGGCGTGAACCCTGGAGGCGGAGCTTGCAGTGAGCTAAGATCGCGCCACTGCTCTCCAGCCTGGGCGTCAGGGTGAGACTCTGTCTCAAAAAAAAAAAAAAAAAAAAGCAGCAATATAAATTATTGTCTCCTAATTTGTGACTTTAGTTACAGATCCCCCTGATCTGTTGTTATTGCAAAAACCTCCCTCATCATTACTGAAATAAATAATTCTTTGTTGTCTCTTGCATGCAATGTAGATATTAGGGACACTGAGGTATAAGAGAATTTCACAATAAGCACACAAACACACATTCACACACATATACAGGCAGATAAAAATTCTGTGTTTGCAAAATGCCGAATGATGACACTCGCAATAAGTAGTAAGTCATTTTAATAAAAAAATGGATTATTTGGATGTTCTTTAAGGAGATTATTTTAGCTATAGTTATGAAAAAGAGTATGTTTAGCAAGAGATCCAAGTCATATTTTGTTACTTCCAGGTCTTAAAAAAGAATACCCAAGCAAAGCAAAGCAAAGCAAAATATGACTGGAAGTACTTAGGGGTAGTGATTACCATGGCCCACTAAAGAGAAGTTAAAATAAAATGCCCAATTCACAGACATTAAATGTTTCTGCTTTTAGATGGTAAGAAAAATGTTTTTTTAATTAAAGATTAAAAAATGTAATAAAGCTCATTATGTTTAATTGACAAACCAAGCAACTTGGAACATTGCAAATTATTCAATGGCTGTTTATGTAAGGAACTGTTGAATTCCTAGGACCAGTCTCAGGAACAGGTTTGCAAAAGTGGAATTCAGTCCTCAGAACTATTTATATACCTAAATGTGAAAACTATCACATGCAGAAAAATATATTTACACACATATATATATGCATGTTTATATAAAATATATTGAAAAATATATAGAGAAACATTTTATGATCTTCTCACAGGAAAGGTGTTTTTAAGCAAGAAAAATGCTTTAGAAACCATATAATAGATGATACAATTTAACTATGTACAAATGTATAATTTTTTATGATCCCCAAACAAGCAGAGTTTGAATAAAACATTTGCAACATATAAAAGCCAAGAGTAGACATAAAAATATACACAAAGATTGTGTAAAATTGTTTACAGATATGAATAATCCTAAAGAAAGTTAAACGATGGTTATAAAAATTAAATCACAGGAGAGAAAGTACAAAAATACAACAAACTTATCAAAAATATTTAACACTTTGGGAATGAGGATAATATAAATAAATTTCCCTATGAATTTTTTTTATAATTACATGTTGCCTTTTTTCAATTATAGAGCAATGATGAGTTGTAGGCCCATTGTGGGAAACAGGCAGCACAGCCTAGCTGTGAATAAACATTAAAAATCCACATATACTTTGATGCAGCAGTTTCACATATTCTCATTTTTTCTGCAGATAGTGTGCATACAACTGTACACAAAGATGTATATACACTGATTAGGGATCCTGGATCCTGCTCCACACCGTGTTTCCTGAACACCTCTGTATTTTGGAGTGCTTTTGTAGAATTTTTTCAAAGTTCTCTTCTGCTGCCTTGTACTTGTCTGGGCTAGGAGGGCTACTGAGTGAAGAATCCCAGTTTCTGACTGGACCTGAGTAGGTACTGATGTGGTTTCTTTCCTTTAGGCAATCTTCTGACCCTCTAGCCTTCCAAAGAATGCCTACTGTTAACCAGATGTCTCTGGAAGTTCTGAGATTCATGCTTAAAGGGACCCTAGACCAAGGCCCCTGGTTGGGCAAAAGGTATGGTGGGTAGATCACGCTTGCTGGTTGCCACAGAATTTCTTGTGCAAGATAATGAAAGATAAGGCTGCCAAAATGGTACTGACAATCTGATATTGGGCAACTTTTACCTAAATCTGACAGAGAAAGAGTTCAGAGCTTAGAGCTACTTATAGTTCACTGCTGGTCCTTGGACTTGAGCTGCATGTTTGGTTCCATGGAATGGGGACTTCTAGCACATCTGTATTTCCATAGCAGTGTCAACTCCAGCCTACAACACTCGAGAGAACCACATTCCTTCTCCACCTGCTGGTAGTTAGGCTCTATGAAGAACTGTCACATGCACTGGTTGGACTATAAACAAGAATGTAATATACCTTTTCTCCACTCATTCTATTCCATTCCCTACCTTCCTCCATTTGTCAGGTGGTCCTAAGGATGAGTAAGCTTATTTTCTGGGAATTTTCCAGATTCTTGCTTCTCATTTTGAAATGCTAATGGGACCTTTAGATTAGTCAGTGTCTTCTCTTGCCTCTAATGGATGTAGTGATTTTATACTCTCCCTGGTTGGTCTTAAGCTCTGCAAAAGAAGGGATGACAGTCTTTGAATGAGACTACTCTTCTTGCTCAAACTGCAGGCTCCTCTATTGCCCTCACGTCTTGTAGTAGTGCATAGATGGGAGAACAATAGTTGAACTAAAATAGATCACATTCTAGGAAGGTGGTGATTAATGCCTGAGAGTTCAATAAATGGTTGGAGGTGTTGTTCAATCTTTATGCTGTAAAATTCCTAGCCATAAGTTTGACATGAGCAGAAACAAATTATCATTCACATTTTCCTTCATATTCTGGATAAGACTTATATTTGTGGTCATCACCAACACCTCACGGTAACAATCAAGAGAATCATTAAAACCTTCCTTCACAGGCAGCACGATGGTGCAGCATCAGTAGTAATGACAAAATCAGCAATAAAGAAAATGGCTAAAACTGCAAAGGCAAACTATATATTGTTTCAATAAAAACAGGTTCTGAGGAACCATGACCTTATGAGTAATAAAAGCATTCCTGACTTTTTCAAATAGTGGCAAGACCTGAAATTTGTGAGGATCAGGCATTTGTTTCCAGGCTCTATGAAGAATCTTAACATGCACGGACTGAACAACAAACTAATATGTAATATACCTCTTCCATACTCATTCTAAATCTTCCCTGACACATAGCAATTCCTCACATGGACCCCAAAATTTTGTGTAGCATTTTCAAATTAAATTATGTGTGCAAACAGGCATTCTGTAAAAAAAAAATTTGTTGTGATGGTGCACACCCAAAGATTAATTCTGCTAGAATGCTATTTCTGCTCTTAACATATTTTCTCTTAAAATTAGATACCAAGATTTACCATATAGGAAACAAGTATTTCCAAAAACAAAAATCAAATTATGCATTATTACCTATAAAATTCTATCCTCTTCTATTCTACTACTAACAGGCATACATTTTTGGCTAAATGAATCTCAGATAAACACCTCCACTTCAAAACCAATTCCAACACCTTTAATCCATAAAAGGCATTTTCTAGTTCCTCATATTCACGATCTCAGTATGAAATACGCTGGTACTCATTTCCTGCTCTCTTTTTCTCCCAATTAATAATCTAAAAAATGCAATGAAGATTTTTTTTTTACTGTTTTGAAGCTAGGAGAAGGGAATAATGTTCTCTCTAATTTTCCTGACTTCTCTTTCAAAATATGCATCTATACGTAATAATTATATATGTATGTATATATCACATACACACACTATATACATATATAATTTATAATTTGCAGCTAGCTCTGCTTCACCTTGGTGAATTCTTTCTTTTTAGTGTACCTTTTTTATTTCTCTGGAAAGATGGAGATACAATGAAGGACTAGCAAAGGAGAATGGCTCAAGGGTGTATGTTCTTTTCTAGACTCTACCACAGCTGTTTTATTGTTTTGTCACTCTTTGTTTCTCAGTTACCTTAATGTAAACTAAGGGTTTTGTAACTCAGTGATGTTTTGCTAGGTGTGTTGTAAAGAATTTTTAACCTTGCTTAAAGAGAGATCTGGTCTTTGCTGTCTACTTCTGAGAGATAATTTCTAAATTCTTAAGATGTCACGCCTTATAAAATGTCTCTGTGTGCCTGAGCATCTGGGGTCACACCAGATACTCAATCAGTGTCATCTAGGGTGGGGACTTCAGGTCATGAAGTATCAATTCAAATTCCTGGACACTGAAGTGGGCTGACTAGGGTGATAGCTCATGTGTATTGCCACACATTGCTGGGAAAAGTAGCATTGTCTGTGACTGCCCTGGGAAACGACAACTGGAAGCTCTACTCTTGAAACTTCCTGGAGCTCTGCCTTACGTGTCTCTTCTATTTGCTGATTTTAAGTATATATATATTTTTTACTATAATAAATCATATTCATGAGTATAATAACTTTTATTTAATTCATTTAGCCCTTCTAGTGAATTATCAAAACTGAGGGTGGTCTTGGAGAACTCTGGACTTGCAATTTGGGATCAGGCGAAGCTGGTTTTAGAGTCTGCCCCCTAATTTTGCACCAGGAATGAGAAATGCATCTTCTTCTACTCATCCTTCAGAGCACAGTTTAAACTTCACTTTTTCAGAAAATTATTTTCTGATTCCAACGGCATTTTTTTTTCATTTAATAGTATATTGGTTCTTATGCACTGACTGAACAGTAAACAAACATGTCATTCTTATGTTGAAGTCCTAATTCTCAGTGTGATTGCAGTTGGAGACAGGATGTTTAAAGAGGTAATTAAAGTTAAGTGAGCTCATAAGTGTGGGGTTCTAATCCAATAGGATCGTGTCCTTATAAGAAGAGAAAGAGACACTGGGGATGCACACTTCAGATGTCCATGTGTGGGCAAAGCAAGAAGAAAAGCCTTGCAGGCCAAGGAGAAAGGTTTCAGGAGAAGTTAAGCCTGCAAACATATTGATCTCAAACTTTCAGACTCCAGAACTGTGACAAATGAACTTCTGTTTTTTAAGCCATCCTATCTGTGGTATTTTGTTATGGCAGCTCTTACAGACTAATACTGTTCTTCACATCGTATTTTCTCATCATGCTAGCAAATTCACTTAAATGTTATTTAGTACAATTGAAATTCAATAATAAATCGCATGATTCTATCACTTCTCGGCCTTTTGGGTAAGATCAAGTGTAATTAATTGCATGATTCCTAATTTAATGTGTTTTCATTCCCTTCTCATTCACACTCGCTTGAGTATCTTCTTAATGATATCAGTGATCTCGCTTGCTGCTCAGTCGCCAAAATTTTGTATAGTGAAGCAGAGTAGATACTTAATAGTGGTTGAATGAGTGAATGAATAAAAAATGAATTCATAAAAGATTGAATAGCTAATAAAATTTCTGTAGGTGAATATTTACTGTATAACTAACATTTGAGAGACTTCTCCAGTTACCTATACCCTATTATCAATATAACTTTATTCATGCTCTGAGCCTGAAGATTCATTGATCAGTGACCGACTTCTAGATCTGACAATGAACAAGTCTCATCTCAGCCTAAATCATGACTGTAACCACAAATGAACTTGGTTGGAGCAAATCACAAAAACATACTGTTCTCAGCATAAATTCACTGTCACTAATTTCAGGGAAGCGGGAGCATGGGAGCATGATTCTTAGTGCTGCCTGGCAATCCTATCACATTTCCTGGTTCCTTCAATTTTTCACTCTGTTAGTGAATTATTTCATGTCCTTTCCTCAATTCTGACATCAACACAGCCTTTTCCCATTTTTTAAAATCTTAGTTGATGAACTTTATACTTCACTAAAAAAATTGGGGCAGTAAGTAGGGAACTTTATCAATTTTCATGACAATTGCTATTCCCCTATTTCACAGGCAGGAATTACCTCAGTTCTCTCCTATACTACTCTGAGTGAATTCTCTATGCTACTGTGATCCTAGCTAATGATGACACCTCTGCTTTTGCTTTAGATGCATCCTTCTTATCTACTCAATGATGTCACTCTAGCAACTCTCATTTTCTCTTTCATCATCAATTTTCTTTGCCAATAATTTTTTTCATCACTTAAAGTGTTTTAAAATTTTCAAGGATAAATATTGAAACCACAATCTGTCTTGACCTCATCTGACCTTTAATTACTGAACCATTTGCTTTGTTCCATTTACTGACAAACTCTTTAAAATAATGTTCTACATTTTCTCACCAATTGCCATCTTCTAATTCTCTCTTGAACTAGGTTTTTGCTTCTTCTCCACTTTTGAAATTGCTTTAATCATGATCTCCAAAGATTTTCACATGCTAAATTCATTGACCATTTATTTGACTTTATATTCCTTGGCTTATAGCAATAGTCGACACATGCTCTTAAGTCGGTTTATACCACACTTACCTGGTTGTCTCCTAATATATTGGCCATTTCTCGTTAGTCTCTTATACTGGTTCTTCATCTCAGTTGTCTTTAAATTTTGGAATACCCCAAGGCTTAATCCTAGAAGCATTACCAATACTCATTCCAAAGAAGATCTTATTATCTCATTCTATCTGATGATTTTAAATGTCATTTAAAAGTTGCTGATTCTATTTTTAAAAATCTCTAGCCTGACCTTTCTCTTGAACTTTATACAAATATCCAACTTACTGTTTGACCTTTCCAATTAAATATTTGACCTCATATGGCCAAATTGAGCTCTTGACAGATAGGCACATCCTTGCCAAACTTTTACCTCTCACAGTTTTCAATTCCATTTCATAGCAACTCTATTTTATAACTACTCAAACAAAAATTTTAGCATCATTCACGGCCTGCAAGGATGTAAGTCACATCCTCATTGTTTGTCCCCAGCAATTCTTTTGGCTCTACCTTCAAAATGTATCAGGAATGTGGTTACTTCTCACACACCCACTCTTGCCATTATGAAGAGGAAAGTCTTCTAGGAGTGTCAGAATAATAGAAATTAAGAGGAGAAAAGGTATTTTAATGAGTATTATTACAAATTACATATAAGAACCACTTTAAATAGTTTAGAAATATGTGAATTAAGATTGAAATTCCCATTTGTAGGACTGAATAATATAGACTACAGCTTTATTTGTATTTCTATATTGTATTCATTGTTATTTACGAATGGGAAAACTGAGCGCTAGTTTAATAATTTGTCTAAGATTACATGAGTCAACAATAGGTACTCTAGAATTAAAATTAGAGATGGCTTCTTCCAGGATTTTCAGAGTTTGCCAGATCAGCTCTCAAATTAAATTAAAAACCATAACAACTTGAATGAAATCATGCCTGCTTAAGAAAATAGGAAATAAGTAGGAATGTCTAGGATGTTTTATTATTTTCCAACGTTTATTGATTAACACCTACTATATTACAAGTCTGACCTAGGTTTGAGATGAGACAACTATATTGTTGCCACAATCTTCCTAGAATTCCATTCCTCAAAGTTTTATTGTAGATTTTGAATTATTTGCCTTACTTCTCATTACATTCAATTTTTCAAACTCATTTCTTATCCCTGGAGTGCTTTACACATTTGTATCTTCTCTTCTCAAATCTTGGAATCTGATCCTTATATCTGGCTCATGATCAACCCTGACACAGATGTTAGCTATCTTCTTGTCTCTAACTTGTGCATTCTGCTAACTTAAAGTTTTTTGAAAGGCAGCAGTCTCCTGTTTTCAGCAAAAGGTAGATTCCAAGACCTCTAGTGAATGCCTTAAAACCCAGATAGTAACAAACCCTATATATACTGTTTTTTGCTATATATTTATACTTATGATAAACTAATAATAAAATGGAAAAATTATAGCAATATACTATAATAAAAGTTGGTGAATGTAGTCTCTGACTCTTAGCCTCAAAATATCTGATTGTACTCTACTCACCTTTCTTCTTGTGATGATGTGAGATGACACGATGCCTACACGTTGAGATGAAGTCAAGTGAATGACACAGTCATCAGGATATAGCCTTCGGCTACTATTGAACTGTATATTCTGGAATCGGTGTAACCATCCCTTACATGCAGTAAATGGATTGGCATAATTAGTTTGAGGGGATCATTTGCTGAAGTCTTCCTTAGGATCAGTGCTTTGTGGCACAACACATTGCCATTCATTGAAACACATTTTCTGTTTGTGTCTTCTACCCACAAATATAATGCCTTTTCCATTTTAACTAAGCACTTATTATGCACTATGGCCATAACTTTTGCACTTTGAGGTACAACAGCCAAATTAGCATAAATTTCTTGTCCTTTCTTCGCAATTATCCTGATAGATTTGTTCTTACTATAGGTTTTAGCAAGCTCAGCATACATTTTTTTCCTTTATTAAGTCAAGAATTTTTACATTTTCACTTAAAGCACTTCATAGTTGCTCTTTGACATATCTAAATTGCTATCTTGAGTTTTACTCTTTTATTGAGTAAAATAAATGTTACTTCAATACAAGCACTGCTATACTGTGGTAGTTGCTCTGATAACTGAGATGGCTACAAGTGACTAACAAGTGGGTAGCACAGACAGCATGGATACACTGGACAAAAGGATAATTCATGTCTCAGGAAGCATGAAGCAAGAAGGTGCAAGATTTTATCATGCTACTCAGAAAAGCATAAAATGTAAAACTTAAGAGTGGTTTATTTCTAGAATTTTCCAATTAATATCCTCAGACTGCGGTTAACTGCAGGTAATTAAAACTGCGGAAATTGAAACCACACATAAAAGGGGGCCACTGTACAAATCACTCAAATCCCCAATGGGTATTTGATCTTTGTCCTAGTGAAACCGACTCAATAGTCCCATAGACTTTTCTTTTAGATAAACATAAAAATTGACCTTTCTGATCTTAAAACTTGAAGCTTACATTTGTATTATCTGAGTTCCTTCCTCAGAAAAGGACCTTCAGGCCTCTCAAAAAAAGTATCAAAGAACTGAAACTCACCAGATCACCATATCCTGACAATGAGATGCCTGACCCCTCGTTCATCATGACTTCTTTGGTGCCCCTCCCTAGTTATTGTTTTATTACACATTGTTACATTTCCTTCCTTGCTATATAAACACTTAGTTTTAGTGGGTCAGGGAGACGCATTTGAGACTAAACTTCCATCTTCTTCACTGCAGCACCTGATTAAAGCCTTCTTCCTTGGCTATATTTATTGTCTCAGTGATTGGCTTTCTGCACGGTAAGCAACAGGATCTAGGCCCAACCCATGGTGTTTCACTATCACTAGCATGGGATTCCTGTTTTGATCATTAATTTTAGTTAATATGGTAGACATTCCCACTAGGTTCACAAAATTTCCGATTCAAATAGTAACAAAAACAACAAAAGCAAAATAATAATCCTGAACCAGTAGTTTTTAAAAACAAGTATTTTTGGTTACCTGGTAAAATTTGACACAGGGTGAATTTAACCTTTGTTTTTAGATAGAAAACAAATTCTAGTCTTCATGTTTTTCACCGTATTTTAATATTAGAGAAACTACTGGTACTGCCTAATATTTATATTGAGGTTTAAATTACAGACCTTAATGCATTTTTCTATTCCATCCAGAGCTAAGTAAGAAAATGCTAATAAGCCCAGGCAATGTTTTGTGAGTCTAAATTCTTTATCCAAAGTTCAGATTGTATTTAAACCCACTTCTTAATGAATCAGTTCTTAATGGATCAATGTTTAGATTGTATTTAAACCCAGTTCTTAATGAATCAAAAATGGATCTAATATCCCTTTTTGAACGAGGTTCTTGCAAGGTGACAGAGGAAGGGCTAGTGAGATTATCAGTATTCTCCTGAACTTATACTTTTAGCTCTTGCTTAGGCTTTTTGTGTCTTGACTCCAATAATCTGATGGTGATATTTAGACAACTGATAAGTCCATAAATATTGATTTTCATGAATCAAGTTTCTAATGAGATCATGGCTAAATTGGGAAACATTCAATTGTATAAGTTTAGGTGGCCCAAGACAGATTAAAACTAGACCTAAAGTAGGGCAAACATAGCTCCAGATATGCTTATATCAAAACTGTTAGTTGGGAAAAATAAGAGAATTTCTATCTCATTCCATTGTATATGAAATTAACACTCACAAAGGAAGATAGCAATATTGGCTTATATATTTAATTATTTATTTCAGAAGTCCTAATTATATTCCCACACCTCTCTGCACTGGTGCACATGTAACTTCTTTGTTCAGAGGTATGCCTTTCTTTTCAAAACATATCATCTTCTTCATACAATTTCTCAGTGCAGCAAATTTTTCTTGGTAAGGAACATATGTCTATTTGCTTTTCACTCTCAAGACAGTCTCTTTTACAACGACCGTAACGTTTGGTGCAACGATCAGCATTCACCAAGGTACATGTGGCTACGGTAAAAGAAGAGTAACAGAAATTCTAATCTTTTATTTAAGCATATATTACTTCTGATTTCATAGAGTATGATGTGTACATTGTATCAAGTTTAGAAAATACCAAAAAAAAATAAATCCATGTATATCTTATACCCCATGTATATATAACTATCTTATACCCCAAATATATATAACTATCTTATACCCCATGTATATATAAAATTAAAACTTGTTTTAAAATTAATATATGATTAAAAACTTCATGACACATATTATTCTCAAAAAAAAATTCAAGATATTTGTAGAGCTACACGACAATGTGCATAATCTTTCAGCTGTTTTCAGACAATCATATCATATCTAAAGTTTTTAATATTTTAGGATTATGATAATGTGGTTTACATAATTTAATACTTATATGATATATCCTTATGATAGTTGTAAAAAAGTTTAATTTTAGAGTTTTGGTACTGCCACAAAAATTTATGCAATTTTTGCCCCATTGCAATTTTAATTGTTATGTCTTTATTTATGTTGAATACTTTTCCTTCTTTTTATAAAATTTTTTACATGCTTTGTTGATTATATAACTGGAATTTTTTAAAATTAATAAGTTCATAAGAATTTTAAAAATATATTGTGGATAGTAACTTTTGTCTGTCATATATGTCACCAATTGGTCTTCCTTAGTTGTTGTTTTTTATATTGTTAGTTATGGATTTTAAACAATTACATTTTCATTACAAGATACATAAATATTCAATTTAAAAAATGTAAACAATTTTGTATTTTTATATGCAGAAATGTACAAAAATAATCTATTTTAATGTATTATTCTAACTTCAAAATAAGAAATTCTTGCATAGATTTTTTCATCATAGTATTTTATTTATTATAGTATTTTTCTCTTTATATCAACTGTACTTGTCAGATATGTAGCTAACTTCATTTCTTTTAAATGATTAAATAATTATTCCACACTATTTATTAAAATAATTTCTTCACCTCTTTAAATGATTTTCACTGTATGCTTAATGTTGTTATATGCTAAACTCACAAACTCTAGATCTCTTTCAGCTATCAATTGCATTTTATGAATATAGCTATGGATTTTTGAAACAGAAACAGCTTAGATTACAAAAGTGTGTAATAGAAACAGCAGATGCTTTATTGTATTTTATTTCTTTATGTATGAACTTTAAAAAGAAAATAAAACAAACTTGCAGAAGAGTACCCAAAAATAAATGCTCAGCTAAGAGTGTTATTAAACATTAAGGACCTATGTAAACACTACCCAAGTCAAGAAATAGAACATTTCCGGCACACTTGTGCCCCCTTACAGTTACTATTCCTTTCACTCTTTCAGTTAAAAAAAAATTGTCTTGATTTATATTTTGTTTAAGCCTGCTCATTTTAAAGCTTTATGTGAATGCAACAGTACAGCACATATATTTTTACATCTGATTTTATTCACTCACAATATTGTATTTTGAGATTTGTTCTTGTTTTGTATAACTATAATTCTTCCATGTTCATTATCATATAGTGGACTGTTACATACATATACGACATTTTAGCCTTATCTGCTGATGAATATTCAGGTTGTTTCCCATTTTTGAATACTTTTGTACTTGACTCTTGGGGCACATGCTCAGGCATTTTTGTTGGGCATATCCCTAAGGGTGAAATACAATGGTAAGGTGTCTACATAGCTTCAACATTAATAGATAATGCCAAACAGATGTTCAAATAATTGGTGCTAACTTAAACTTCCAGAAGCATTGAATAATAGTTTCAGACATCTAAAATCTAAGAAATGCTTGATATTTTCAATTTAGTAATTATGATGTGAATGTAGACACCTCATATATCTTAACCCATTTTATATTTCATAATAAAATGCCAATTTTTCTGATTACTGAAAAAGGGTAACATATTTTCTTATGTTTACTGACCTAATAAATATCTATCATTTAGAAAGTGATCCATCTTTGGTTTTCTATTGGACAGTCTGTCTTTTTTATACTGTTTTATGTATGTTCTTTATATATTCTAGTTGTGTTCCTTTTATATGCTAAATGTATTGAACATATTTTTCTCCATATAGAGCTTGCTTTTTTTAGTTGGTGTTTTTTGACTGACAAAAGTTTCCAAATTTTAATGTAGTCAATACTATTTTTTCTACTGATTAAGAAATACTACTACTTGTATGTTAAAATTGTTAGTAAATTCTTTTACATTAACTTGCATGCTTTATTGTTTTGCCTTTTTCCATGCTTGCATCTCAGGTTATTTGGAATGAGATTTTGGATGTGGTAAGAGGCAATAGTCAAGCTTCATTTTTTCTTCATATGGCTATGCAATGGAACCAGCCCTATTTATTGAAAAGCTTATTTATTACGTTGTTCTGTAGTGCCATCTTTATCTGTTTCTGGGTTCTCTATTCTCCATTGATTTATTCAAAAATTTATATGTATTAGATAATTTCTGAAAAAATTACATCATAATGAATCTGAACAACAACAAAAAGAAATAGAAAATCTAAATGTTTCCAAATTCATTAAGGGAATAGAATCCATAATAATTAAGCTTCTATAGGGAAAATACCCAGCCCAGATAGGTTCACTGTTGAATTCTAAACATTTAAAGAAGAAATAACACCAATTATACACAAACTTTTCCAGATAATAGAAAATAAAAGGATGTTTCTAACTTATTTTATGAGATCAACAATACCTGGTACTAAAACTGATCAGGACATTACAAGAAAGAAAATTACTCATTAATACAGATGCAAAAAGTTTCTTGTTCACAATATTCTCCCATGATCTTTTTGATATCTGTAGCATATATACTAATATCTCTGATAAAGTTTAGTTTTGCCTTCACTTTTTCTTTACAGTTTTGTCAAAGCTTTATTAATTTTGTTAGTCTTTTCAAAAAACAAAATGTGGCCTTCTTTATTTTCTCTAGTGTCTGTTTTCTACTTACATCTAATTAAGTCTTATTACATGTTTGTAACTGTCATTTTAATTTGATTTTCTTTTTTAACTTCATCAGTTAAAATTTTAGTTACATTTTTAGTTTTAATTCTTTTTAGATATATGGATATAACTATATTAATTTCCTTGTAAACCCTACTATGAACTTTGATTTATCTCATTTTTATTACTATTCAGTTCAAAATATTTTCTAATATCCATTTGATCATCTTATAGATTCTGTTATTGATATTCCAAGAAATATACACTGCTGTTCTCAGTTCATTCAGTTTCTCTAGGGTCTAATTACTTTCAAGCTTTCACTTCTGAGACTTATAAATAAATTTAATATATTATAGTTTTCTGAACAATTTAAATATCTAGAAGAAAACTCAGTCCAAAAAAATTGAAAGATGTTGTCTTCATTATCTCATTTTATCTACATATTTGGAGAATGAGGTGGGTACAGTACACCAGTATAATGATATTATCAATGAGGAAACCAAGATTCAGTATAATAAAGACACTTATTTAATTGATAAGATTGCATTAAAAATTTGCATTCTACAATTAATAATTTATTATTTCTATTTCTAGTGAGAAGTTTTACACAAATATAACAGAGACATCTATCTTACCTGGTAGAATGAAGGTCACATAACACAGAAAATGGAGATAGTAAAAGATCCTCATTCTGTAGAAAGAAGTTGTTGAAAGACTTGATAACAGAATATAGAGACTATAGAACTTTCCAAAACCCAAAAGACGTTTACTATTTATAGTTTTCTCATGGAAGAGAAACTCTCGTTATCTGGAAATTGTTTTAATTTTGTGTGCCTATCTCTGCTCCAATGACTATGGCTGTGGGCAGAATTACCCAAATTGAAAACACTTGAAAATAATAGAGCTTTTGGAAGGAATCCCTCTGTGAATGATAGCTGTAAACATGGCATCTTCCTATCATTGCTAATTAATTAATGATCAATGCAAAGGGGCATCCATGGAATAAATTTAAGGTAAATACTTATTTACTACTTCAGAAATAAAACAGCTGAACATTGTCCATTAATCTGCTGATTACTTTTCAAAATTTACTGTAATCACTAATCTGGTGTGTCAATTCATCAATATGCCTGCATATCAAAAAATTTTAATTATATCATGTTATCCCATTAATTTCCCCCAAATTATTCATTTACAAGACCCAAATATTAAGCCTCACTTTTATCACTAATTTCTGTTACATTTTTGAGATGGAACTTAAATATTCACAAAACTCTTGTTTTCCTAGTAAAGCTCAATAATTCTCCACTTTTTTTAACATTTAAATATTTAATTACATGGACACAATAAATAATGAGAAGAGACTGTAATGAATAGCAATAATTTCCTACCCACTAGGCCCTCTAGTGATTACTAACATAAGAACAAGGATGTAGTTTATATCTTATCTTGGCTTACCAAACAGAGTACATCTCTTGGTTTCTACTAAGAAAATTACAAATTTAGATTACTTACACTCTTTTCTAGGCTATCTTTATCAAATATTTTGAAGTTATGTTAATTTTTTAAAAATGTTATAATCTTCAATAAAACACTTATATTTTTCCTATCAACTGTAGTTGCAATATTAAGCCTTCCTCACTTAAAATGAAAATATTAGCCCTCTTGCTAGTTACTCCAGCAATTCTCCCCACTTTTTACACCTCATTCATTTGTTACACATTTCCTTTCATCTTGTGTAAGATAATATGTGTACTCTATGTATAATTAGAATTAAAACATACACTTTATTTTTAGACTGTAGTACAATAAGTATTATCAATTATATTGCCTTTTTCTATGTGCCCAATATCACAACACTTGGGTTAATCAAAGAGAAATGCTCTTGGTTTCAAAGTCAAATTGACATTATTATTAACATTATTACCAATAATTTATTTTATATCTTTCTTTTCTTCTTTCTGCTTTCTTTTTTCTTAAGTGTTTTTTTGTGTTTTTATTTTGTTTTATATTTGGTTATGTCATTATTGAAGAGTATTTCTTCCTGCAGTTTTCTTTGTATATGTGGACAAAATATAAATAATAGGCATTCTCTATCGTCAAGTTTATCTGAGTAGCATAGGTGAGTCCTGAGATTGCTTCATTCTAAGATTTTTCTAAACCTGCCCTCCTGAGTTTAATTTACCGTGATCTGGATCTTGTGTCTTTTTTTGTTGTTGTTCTTGTTTTTCTCCCTCCAGAATTGTTTTCAGAAAAGATTTTTTTAAATTAGAATTTTGTTTCTAAAAAATATTTTTATTCTGCCCTCACATTTAGTTATTTGGATGTTAAATCTAGGTTCAAAATCATGTTCCTTCACAACTTTGAAGCTGTTACTCTACTAACATCCGGCATCCAGTCTTCCTGATGAAAACTCTAATGCCTGGATAGCTCCTTTTAAATGTTTTAATTTTTTCTCTCTTGATGTCATTAGGACATTGGTTTTCTGATTCAGTCTCCCAAACTTTATGATTCACACATTTCTTGGTGTAAATTTCTTATGAATAAGTTATCTTTCTGGTATTGGTGAGCTTATATCTTTCCTGGGATCTGGGAAATTTTCTTCCTCTTTCTATATTTTTTTTCCTCAGATAAGTTCTTCCCTCCTTATTTGTTTGTTTATTTTCTCTCTTTTGGGGATGTTTTTAAGTCAAACATTTAGCCATTTCTCTATAATTTTCTCTCCTACTTTTATGTCTTTTTGTTATTTTTTGATTTTAAATAAATCTTTTACTTTTATATTTAGCTTTTGCAATTTTTTAAGCAAAATTTTGTCGTTTGCTAAAAAAGGAATATAAGTGCCATTTTCTGTTCTTTGATTATTCTTATGTCATAGAATTATAGTCCTGTATTATAGATGTAAAGGCTTCTTGAATACCTCTGTAAATACATTTTAGAGAGATTTTGTTTGTTTGTTTTGTGTTACATTATATTCTTTTTCTTGATCTGTTTTCTCAGAATCTAGCATTCTGTTTGTCATTGTGATCTTAGATATTCATGCTGCTGATTTTACTTATATGCTGGATGAAGAACTGAATACATTGTAGGATTTCCTCCGTTGTCATGCATATCTTTTCCTCTCTGCAATGGAATTCTCATGGTAAAGTCTGTGAATGCGGGCTGAATGGGCTTCCTTACTACAAGTAGAATGCCATATGACTCCCTATATCTTGAAGAAGAAACCTTGCTATTTTTCCAGAGGCAGAAGTTTCTATACCAGAAATCTTAGCTCTCTCCACAAGATTTTAATTATTCAATTAGATTGTGATTGCATTTAAACAAAGCTAAAAACCTCATGAGGGAAGAATTGTGGAGATTCAGTAATTTTTCTTGAATAAAGAAAGGCTCCTTGGATTTTTTTGCAAGTCTAGTTAATTTGCAGAGCTCTTTATAAAGTGGATTTAGACAATTTTATGACGATCTTTTTCTTCCTTTTATGGAGAAGCAGATTTTCTGAATTTTTTACTCCATTTTTCCAGAAGTCCTACCCATAATTTTTTGCTTATTGCTACTTAACAAAAATTTCTGTGGTCTGAAAGTTAAGCTCTGTTCTGATTTATATTCTTGTGCAATAAACTACTCTAAAACTTGTTGGCTTAAAGTAGAAGAAAAACACAACATTTTATTATGCTCATGAATTGTGCGTGACAAAAAATTAACATAGAATATAATGGGGTATGAGGTTGCCTATTTTCTTTATGTCTGAAAACTCACCTGAGAGACATAGCCTAGGAGTGATTTCACATTGGCTAACTCCTTCTTATCCTCCTTTGTGGGTTCCAGTTCTTCACATAGAATTATTTAAATCCTATTCCTTGGGATTTCATACTTTTCCACCTTGGTCTGTAGCCTTTCATTGGGTGATTTTATCTCATTGCTTTGGTTAATGGCTCGACAAATCTATATTGGAAGCACATTTTTTCTTTCTTGAGCTTCACACATGAATATAGCAGAAAAGTGTAAACCTAATATGTTATAAGTGCTCCTTTCCAAGTTTGCTCCTCTGACTATATTTTTTAATGAGTGATCACATAGTTAGGTAAATGTTTCAAATAAGAAAACTGCAAGTAATCCATTTCTCTTAAACCTAAAATTCACTGAAACTCCTTGATTTCTTCTAAGTCAGAACTCTGCCCTAAATTTTTATACTGTCCAAATTGTTGTTATAGGTTTAAGTAAGAAATACATTTGGTGGATACTTTAAATCCTGAATGCCAAGTTTTACTGATGCTTTATAATTAATAAGAATATTTATGTTAAAGTTATTTTAATAGTATAATAGAAATTAATGTGGAATGTGGAAACTTGGAAACCCAATGAATTCATTGAAGACAAGGACAAAAACAGAAGCATTAAGTATTGAAGTATAAGATGAAAGAAGTTAAATAAAATTCTTGAGGACCAAGAGAGAAGACCCTTGGATTGGCAGCCTATGTTTAAGATTGATTATAATAGTCAGCTTTGGATGTTAGAATTAGAAGTGACTTTTCTTTTTTATCTTTGAACATTTCTATATTGTTCTAAATTTTCATATTATTTTAAAATTTAAAAAGCTGTTAAGATGTTTTTAATTTGCTTTTATCCTGATCACAAAATTATAAGTATATATGTAGAACAATATAATATTATAACGAAGTAAATAAATCAGCCATGAACTCATCTCTCCAACATAACTACTCTTAGGGTTTAGTGTTTTTCCTCCTGCTGTTTTTCTCTTTTGATGTATTTTTACATGGGTAAGGTGTTAATATATTCCATTTTACTCCCTTTTCAGTTTGATTAGCTCTTTCTTAAAATTGTTTTTATCAGTCTTCTGTTATTATGTGATTAGCATCTATATAACTTTGTGTCCAAGAAACAAACACATTTATATGGAAACTAAGAGAAGGCACATAAACCATAATTTATGTTTACTATATGAAAGATCATATGAAAATAAATGTTTCTGTACCAGGCAAATAAATAGGTCAGAGATGAAGAGAACAAGAATCAAAAGTCCTCTGTCTCATGGCTGGAGATAAACTTCTGCCAATTTAATGAAGAAGATGCTACCACTCTTTTTTTCTTTATTTCTCTTGTACTAAGCCAACATTGAATTCACTAGCCATGGTATAATTGTGTAATCCAGAAGGCCAGAGATCAACAACTTAAATATAGATTGATAGATAGCAAAAATTCATTTTTATTAGTAAAATTGTTATACAGTGTTTTATAATTATAATTTATTTTTGATGGAGTTTACTAGTGATTTTGTTAATGATTGGCTTTTGGTATTCCCATACCGCACAGCAGGGGTTAACATTGCAGTAATAATATACATATTCCCAGCTGTTGCATTCCGGCTTGCAAGCACCACGAACAAGCTGACATTCTCTTTTTCTCTCTGCAACTTCTCTTGTTTTTTTCTGTGGAACTAGGAAAAAGTAGCTATGACCATAAGTCCAGATTTAATATCCTTAGATACAGAGATGAATAAACTCTTTAAAATGTAGAGTTAAACCATTTTGTTTCTGAAATCATGCCCAAGCAACTCTATTGAAATTTTTCCCTCTCTCAGCTGGTATAATATACTTATTTATCTAACAATATTGCTTTTGTCACCAGCTTTTTAAATTATCATTTAATAAATAGAACATTTTTAAATATCTAATTTGTGTGTGCTTCCTCAAGAGTAAAGAGAAAAAGACATGGAAGAAATAGCCTACATGTTCTGTGTTCTAAATAATCATCCACCTCCAACCCCTTTTCTCTCTACCCCTAGCAATCATTAGGTTGGCTGTAAAAAGCTTAATTTTGATGGTAGCTACAATAGCAGTTGGTAAAATTGATTTTGAAACAGAAGGCAGTGGGAAGTATCTAAAAAATTATAGTGTCATCACACAAAACAACACAATAAATAAATTTAATTCTACATCTCAGGAAGTTTTAAAAATTATTTTCTCAACTACCAGTTCTACTCATTTCTTCCCCCATGAAAAAATAGAGAAAATTGCCTTATAAGGAGTTCATATGAAATCTCCTAACAATAATTTATTTGTTTTTATTATTTTCAGAGTAAAGCATTTATAAGAACATTTTGCCTTTCACATCTTTTTTATAATAACAAATATTACCTGATGGACCACAAGACACAGTGAAGACAAAGGTCAGAAAAATACAAAGTATCTTCATTGCTGATGCAGTTACACTTGAGTAAAGTGGGGACAGATCTCAAAATGTCTCAGAGTTGTGCTAGTCTTTGGTAAAAGAAATATGGGTTCTTGTTTTTACAGCCTTCTTGGCGTGATTACAATTCTGATTAATGCTGCCTACAATTCTGATTAATGCTGACTTTCCAGATTGAGTGCATATTCATGTAAGCATTGTGAAACAGCAAACAAGTATAGTAGAGAGTTTAGTGCTGCTACAACCTCGGTGAGCCAAACATGAATTCATTTCATTTTTGTAAGTAAACAATGGGGTTAAAGTATTCTTGGTCACTAATTAATTGAAAGCACATAATCAACATCATTTACATTTTTGACTACATGCTTTCTTGAGTATTTATTATGTACCAGGGGCTGTTCTAAGAACTTTATAAGGATTAATTCTCATGACAAATTCTATAACATAGGAACTTCTTAATTTCCAATTGAGAAAACTGTGACGCAGACAGAATATGTAATGGCTCACAAATTATACATGTAGTCATTGGTGGAGTAGAGATTAATTATCAGGTTATATGATGACAGAGCTCATTCTCTCAGCCTCCACCCTCCTCATTCTCTCAACTGTATGTTGGGTTTGCATCAAGTGTGGTTATTCTCTGTACACATGGCCTGAACCATACACTGTTTCTGGGATTCAATTTTTCTAGAAATAGAAAGTATTTCTATATCACTGTTTTAATACTGTTATACTAGCAATTATCATAGTTACACTATAAGGATAATCAGTATCATTATTTACATGCCATGTAATGATGACTCAGTCATGAAATTATCTTATTCATAGGAGAGAGCAGTGTGTTAAGAATCTAAAGAGCACTAGATTTAGGTAGGGAAAACCAATCTTGGGGTCTGGTTCTCAGTTTACCATCTATATATTTGGAATAAATATTCATTTATCTAAGCCTTAGGAGTCTCTTCTTGAAGTCCAGATTGGTAGGACCAAACATATTTGGAGTTTTCATAGCAAGGATCAAGTAGAAAACATGTAAAAAATAAATAAGTAATTGATATATGAATTTAAACAATTTGGTCCACTTTCATAAATCTAGAGCTGGGTTTTTAAATCCAAAAAGATGTATCCTTACAACTTAATGATATTATATTATCATTAGATGAGATCGTTATTTTTATTTATATTTGTATTTAATTTATATTCTAACTCCTTCTGTCATTTAGGGAAATAAATTAGAAATATATTATGTAATCTGAGTTTAAAAAGCAGCAGTCCAGTCCTCTTGTCTTTTGTGTACTTCATTCCTCACTCAAAAGGTACCTATGTATTTATAGCCAGACCATGAAAAATCTATTTTCTCAATATTTTCTCCCTATAAAATGCTAAAAAGAGCCCTTTGAACTGTTGGAGATTTAATAAAACTAATTGTATGTAAGCAGAGAAAGATAGCAATGGCAAATTTTAAAAAGCGGGCAGTATCATAGTGACAGCATGTGTAAGAAAATGACCTTGGACAATAGGGCCCATTTTTGCTTCAGTGCTACCATATCCAATTTATCAGTATAAAATAAGCCACTTCTATTGAGCTGGCCCATCAGCTAAACTCATAAATTGCATATTTTCCCCTATCTGTTTAAAGGTGAAGTTGGGTAAAATTATATCTGAATCACACTGAACAAAGGTAAGGGCCTCACTTCTCCCAGGAAAATACATAAGTAGAATCAAACAAGATGCATAGAAAGCAAGTTAATTGAGTTATTTATTGCTTACAATGTGCATCTTATGGTATAATTGGGGAGAAATCCAGATTGTATATTTCTATTTACAAAATCATTTTATTTGTTTCTTTTTGTTTTTTAGGGAGAAAGAGACAAAAATAGAGAAAGTTGAGTGAGAATGAGATTGGGGTTGTGATTAAGGGATTGTGATTTTTTAAGGGAGAAAGAGACAAAAATGAAGAAAGTTGGGTGAGAATGAGATTGGTGTTGTGATTAAGGGAAAAAAGAGGAGGTACAGAGAAAATTTTTAAGAATAGAGAATTGACCTGAAATGTGTGAATTAAATAGTAAGGTGGATGAGCCTTCATATTTCTACTTAATTGAATCAGAATTTAGGAGTTTGAGATTTTTTAAAAAAAGTTTTATCTTTCTTCTTACAATGTTAGATAATCACAGGTGGTAATTGTATAGTTTAGAGCTACAGGGAAGGATTTCTGGAGAGGTAAGTTCTTTGTAAAAGAGGGTGGTTAGGCTTTATGATGTTCAGCTGAGAAATGCCTATGAGGGAGACTTTTCTAGGCCAAGAGGTGGATGTTGGGAATACAAGTAAAGGGTATGATGCTGAGAAGAGAGATGATCAGAAGAATATACCAAATGCAATGCTATTCTCTTACAAGAGTTGCTAATCAAAATTTTGATACTTTCTTTAAGTCAATACCAATAAAGTATTGGTTTGTCAGTCAGTCACTGGGTCTCAGCTTCCACATTTTAGGAATAACAGCCTAAAACAACATATGGTTTCTTTGCAGAGAAAAACCATAACGTCGTTCCCATTCTTTGCTCTTCACTACCAGTCACTGGATTATTGCAACTCCTCCCCACTCCCAAACACAAAACACAGTATGTTTCAATGAACGGATGGCCACAAAACTTTAAAGTAAAAAAATCCGTTACGTGACTAATTCTATATAACAGTGACATTGATTGGCAATTTGAGAAATTTTCAAATCTGAAAGAATCATACAACATTTATTTTACAGATGAAGCTAATAAGAATTACCAAGAAAACACAAGATGGCATAGGCGGATGCTAGTAGCTGGATTTTCTGCCACAACTTTTACTTATTTCCAACCCAAAAGCTCTTACATAAGCTCCAGTGCGGAGAGTTCATATATTTAGAATCCATGAGTCTGAAAGACTAAGCTTCTGTCATGCCTGATTCTGCTGTACCTTATAACAACTATTAAATGCTTATTGCCTGCAGGCACTAGTTTATATAATTTACATGTGCTAATATGTTTAAACTCAAGAAAGCCCTAAGACATAGGTATAATGTTTAGCCCATTTTCACATACAAAGAAACTGACACAAAGATATTTAAGTTATTTACCCAAAGTCAATCTGCTGGCTGGTAAGTGGTGAAACTGGAATTAAACACATTACATTTTCAGAGCCCACATGCTTAACCATTATTACTACATACCCTAAATCACTTGGGATAGTTGTCTTAGAGTTCCAAGGAAAGTTATATAAAATGGAAATATGTGGTTTCTAAGACAAAAGGAATATTATAATTTATTTGTCCTCTATTCATTTATTTTTAATTTTCAATTATGAATACATAACAGTTGTACATATTGATGATGTACATGTGCTACCTTCGTACAAGCATACCATGTGTGATGATCAAATCAGGGTAATTGGGGTATCCATCGCCTCAACCACTGATCTTTTTTTGTGTGTCAGTAACGTTCCAATTCTACTCTTTTCGTTATTTTGAAATATATGGTAAATTATTGTTAACTATAGTAACTCTATTGTGCTACCAAACACTAGCTGTTATTCCTTCTATCTAACCGTATTTTTGTACTTATTAGTCATTCCTTTATTCCCCACCTCCTTACTGTCCTTTCCAGCATCTGGTTTAACTTTTTTTAAGTTCTCACATATGAGTGAGGATGTGCAATATTTATCTTTCTGTGGCTTATTCCACTTAACATAATGTCCTCTAGTTCCATCCTTGTTGATGCAAATAACAAAATTTTATTCGTTTTCATGGCTAAGTCGTATTCTATTGCCTCACCTTTTATTTTTACAGCTGAGGGACACTACTGAAAGTAGAAAGTTTGAAGAGAAACCACTGGTGGGAGTTTCCATTTTTAAGAGAATCTAGAACAACCTTGGAGAATAGTAGCTCCTCAGCTTCCTGTTTATCCCAACAGATACCTTTTCTAATCTGGGTTGAGTCTTCCCTGACACTCCAAGTAATGGAAAGAACTATTGCACGTTCTGTATTTTCACTTACGACAAGTAAAAAACAATTTCTCATCTGAAACTCTAGCCTGACTGGTTGCTCTTTCTCTATACTAAGCCATAAATGGTCATCGAAGGCAATAATATAAACCTTGAATTTTACATCAGCTTTAACAATAAGCACTGTAACGTATGATCTGGTGAAAAAATATCCTTCAGCTTCTGTGAGCTTATGTGTTTCATCCTGACTTTGGTGATAAATTTTACAGCTTATCAAATGCATTTTTTGTTTTATGTTATTAAACATGAATCATTTTTTAAAAGAAGTTACACATGGAAACATTGATCGTGAGTTATTTTCCCACAGTCATACAACACTGTTATTGCGGAATCAAATTTGGCTGCCTAATAATAATAATAATAATAACAATAATAAAACCTTAGTACTATGGCTATGTTTCGGTTATGTCATTCCAGTAATTATCTATTCCAGTGTGAAAGAAGATGTCTGTCTCCTATGATTTTAAAAATATCCTGAAGCTCAGGGCTTTAAATTTGCAGTGTGAAGGGTGGGTGGTAAGAAAGGGGAAGGAAGGACAAAGACATGAAGCTTTAAGTGTACAGATTAATATATGGTGAGAAAGATAATATAAAAGAAAACTATAACAAAGTAGGCAAAGCCCATTGTAGTTTTAACTATTTATACAGTGATTTCAAAAATACTTATTTGAAGTTGTCTCCAGTAACCACTGCTTAGTAGAAATTTAAACAATGCTTTCTAATAAAAATGTAAATCATATGTTATTACTTATTACCTCTTCCTAATGTCTGCATTGGTTAGGCTATCACTGAAGTTGGTAGCTCAGGAAAGATGGCATTCTGTAACTGTTACAATATGATTACATTCTGGTATTATGTACTCAGTAAGTAATATCAAACTAAGGAAATTAATACCATTATAGATTTAAATTTAAATTTAAAAAATAGAATGTTGATTATTCTGGTGCACATTATAATAACAATTATTATTATTATTATTATTTGCCTCTTCTTCCTACTTCTGAGCTTTAAAGTTATAGCTCATAGATTCACAATAGTAATTAGATATTTATTTAATATGTTTTGCATATGATCTACTTTTGTGTGTCAATTCAAATTTTACCCAGATGAAGACTAATTTACTCATGTAATCCGTGTTATTTAAATCTCACTCAACTGCAATCTTTCCTTTCCTTCAGAAGGGGTAAACGTGCACTTGTACCCATGAACTTAAAACAAAAGTTTTTTAACAAAGAAAGTGACCCTTTAGAGAAATTGAATTTCAGAATATTTAATTCAGTTTCCAATCCTAAGGGATCAGAGACTAATTCATAATGTGGTATTATCTATTCCTTTCTCTTTTTGGGGGTGTATAGAAGATAATGAGGGGGAACTTATGCTCAGCTTCCCAAAGTTTAAAAAAGTAATTGTAATTTACTACTTTAAATATGGTTTGTATAAGGGGGAATGATAAGATCAATATCCAAAAAGAGCATATAAACTGTAGCCACAGGATAATCTTTATAACCATCTTTTCTCTTTTTGTGTTTTTTATTTAGCACAAGGCTTGGTTCTTGCTAGATTCCCAATAGGGAATAATGAATATTTAATTAGCATTAGCTAAATATTGGTTACTGCTTTAACATTTTACAACTATTGTCTTAGACATAACAGCAACCTTATGATTCAGGTACTAGTTTTGCTGTCATCATTGTGCAGTGGTGTGATTGAAACTTAGAGGCGGCCAGGTGTGTTGGCTCACAACTGTAATCCCAACATTTTTGGAGGCCGAGAGAGGTTGCGGTGAGCCAAGATCATGCCATTGCACTCCAGCCTGGGCGACAGAGCAAGACTCCGTCTCAAAAAAGAAAGAAAGAAACTTAGAGGCATTCATTTAATTACTTGTTCAAAGTCACTGTACTAGTAATGACCATTGCTGACATTAGACTCCAAAGCAGTCTGATTCTTGAATCCATTTTCTTATTGAACATACTAGAATCAGTGAATTTGTGCATGAATAAATTTCTGAAAGGCAATAATGAGCTTCTATAATGTCTTTATATACCTGTTTATAGCAAAACTTACAGCTATTTAAACTTTGGTAAATGGTAGATGACTGATGGAAACTAAAAATAAATGATGAATTCATGCCTGGAAATGGCAGAGAGATTAATTAAATCAGTGTTTCTCTGAACTTGACAATTTTTAAAATCACTTGGAATGATTAAAAAAATACACACCCTGAGCAACACCCCTGAGTGGTGTCATTATGTTATTTGGGAGGGTGGTCTAGAAAACTGCATTTTAAAATAAATGCCCCCACCTCCATCATTCTGATATTTACCCAAGTCTAATAGCACAGATTTAGTCACACTCTACTTTTGTTGGGCATGAATTCATCTACATCATTTCTTCCACTTAAGTCTCTTCGCTTCCCTTCCTCTAAAATTAAGTGATGCCTGGAATGCAGACTGTGCCATTTTCTTCATCCCACCAAGCTCCAGAGAATGTGAATATAGCATGTGATTGTGGACAGACCACCTGAGTGAGTAAAAAAAGTAAAAGTGTCCTTTTCACTCCTCTCTGGCTGTGTGCATTGGGCAAGGTACATATCCTTTCTAAGCATCAGCTTTCTTGGGGGTACTGGGAATAAAATTAGTCATCTAGAAGAGATGAAGAGTAAATTTTGTAAGGTAAGTAGTTGGTACCTTAACTAATGCTTCTTCCTTTTAAATTCTTACCCTCTACATTTGACTCTACTAATAGCTCCAGGAGCCTTACGCGAGAGTACTATCAGAAACTTTCTTCCTTTGATATTTCCTTATGCTTTGTGTGTCAGAAAACTACTTATGAAAGAAATTACTTGTATATGTGTGTGTATACAATAATGTATATTATACTTACAGTTGGAAAAATAAAGCAAAAAAAGAGCAGGAATAAAACAACTAAAATAGTTAAAAATATCTGAAAATGCTTGTCTATATTGTCCACAATCCTTATAGAAATATGTCCCTTGCTGATGCCACATGTGAAGCATAATTTTTCTTCACTTCTCCATAATATGAGAACCTTACATTGTTAAAAATGACCACAAGCCATATGACA
This sequence comes from Homo sapiens, assembly GCF_000001405.40. Taxonomy (NCBI): domain Eukaryota; kingdom Metazoa; phylum Chordata; class Mammalia; order Primates; family Hominidae; genus Homo; species Homo sapiens. The sequence continues at coordinate 49,976,733 of NC_000006.12, forward strand.
TCTGAGAAAATAGCCTCTAATATGAGGTCCTATTAGTAAGAATTTACTTTTAAGAGCTAAAACTAAAGAACAGAGTCTTCAATTGCATGGTTGCGTCACTTTGAAAGTGGTCCACAGACTCTCAGAAATGAAAGAACAAGATTTATTTCCAAGGACCCTTTAATACAATTCCCTACTTATGAGCATCTATACCCTTGATAAGTCACCTTTATCTGGTATCTTTTGACTAAATGAACTGTTTAGAATATAGAATGAGCCTTTTCTTTGACATTAGAAAGGTCTGGATTTGAATTTCAGGCATGTTTTTACTATATAAGTGATCCCTTTGAAGTCCTATTTCTCATCTATAAAATGGTGATTGTAACATCAAACTGGGTTGTATTGCATATTAAATAAGATTATGCATGAACCTGATAAAAAGGCAGTCATTAATAATTTTAAAAAATGCTGAGTTCTTACTCTATGTAGGCACAACTTAACACTCTAGAATAGAGCAGTAAGCAAGAAAGACATGGTCATAGCCCTTGTAGTGTTTACCACAAGTGAAATGAGTCACATAATAATCAAGTAAATTAGTTATTTCAGATATAAATTACTCTGCATAAAATTCAACAGTGTGTTAGGAACGAGAGTGATTATCAAGAAAGGCATTATCATAAGTGATCAAAGATAATTTCTACCATCCTAAGAAGAAGGTGTCCAACAAAGAGTGTCTCATGCAAAGAGACCAATTTAAATGTTTCTGAAAGCATAATGTGTGTGAAGAACAAAAATCAGGCCAGTGAGATAATGTTTAGTGAGCAAAGAGGCAAGTGGTAGGGGTGAGGTCAGGGAATGAATCCCACAGGGCATTTCACTCCATGATGAAGTGATGGATTTTATTATAAGTTTGGTGGATGCCATTTGAGTGTTACAAATTCTAGAACCATCAGGAGGGGAGTAGAAGTAGTCAGGAAGGGAGGTAATTTTGGAGACTGCTGCAGTGTTCTATGAGAGAAAAGATGGTAGCTCAGATAAGTTGTTTCTCTGAGCTGATTATCCATTTCTCCCTTTGCTCTTAAGTGTCCCCATGGGTTTGTTAGGTTCTCACTGTGAACCTGCCCAAACTTTTGTCTCTCACATCTGACCACAATTAAGGAGCGCCTGTCCCAATGTTCTGACCTATTATCTGATCATTAATCATTGATATGTATCTGGTGTTTCCTCCCATTTTCTGGTCAGCCTTGAGTTGGACTCTCTGTGCCTTCTGAAGGAACAATTCTATAATAGGATACACTGAGCTATGTGGGAGTTTAGAGCCATGGGTTTTTCTTTTATCTCATGATAAATGTGCACTTTAAGGTACATTTGCATCCCCCAACTATGTTACCATCTGACACAGAGGAAGAAACAGAAACTCTCATGGGGAATATTTCTGGTTAGCAGAGAGATGAGTAAACAGTAAACAGAAAAATTACGAGAATAAACACTTGAGAAATAAAATAGGAGAGAGAAGAAAAGAGAGGAAAAGATAAGGAGGAAAGAAGAGAGAAAGATTGATTAGTGAAAGGATGCAGTTTTGATGTCACTAAAATAGTGTTTCCTGAACTGTGATGTGCACAAAAATCACCTGGGTTCTTGTTAAAATGCAGATTCCAGTTGAATAAGTCTGGAGCAGGGCAAGGATAAAGGTTTTTTTTTTGTTGTTTTTTTTTTTTTTTTTTTTAACAAGAAACCTTGTAGTAAAAATGCTCCTGGTCTGTGAAACACACTTTATGTAGTGAGGCCCTAGAGCACATCATCTAAGCAGGTACTTACACTATCACAGTTGTGCTATTGGTCCTCTCACCAGCACGTATATAGAGAAGATACCCCCAGAATGTAGTGACTAGAATATGTTAGAAGTGCATTGTTGCAGTGATAATTATTCTTTCCTTCATCTTCAATGTATGTTTTTGTTATGGTGGAAGTTGGGATGAAAGCAGAAATATGAGCACGAATTTTGGTTATGCAGTTTTTAAAAAACTGACATTCTGCAGTTAGTTTCACTTTCAATCAGTGAAGTGAGTAGCAGTTCAGAGAAAAAAAAATCAAGTAGGGAAGGATGCAGCTCTCTTAGGCTTTTCCCTCCTGCAAGATACAAAATAAAATGTTTAACAATAATATGTGTTAGAAAAGAGTTCCAACCAGTATAAATAAAACTGAGTGATTTAAATTTAGGTTTAGATACCAGTTTAGAGTTAAAAATATAAAATATAAAGAGTTACTATTTTACCCATAATCTTAGGGCTACCAGTCACACCTTACAACCTCTTACAACCTTGATGTTCTCAGTCACAAGTTTGGTAATGTTCTGCTAAATTAATCATTAATTTTTTATCAGCACTACTTTACCAGCCCTATGTTTACTTGGATCATATATAATAATCTGGAAATTACTTCAAGAATACCCTTCTATAGTTTTCAAGAAAAATTCCGATAAATATGTTACACTTATTTGAAGAAATATGTACCAAAAAGATGGAAAACATTAGAAATACCAATTTCCTGGTGGGTTGGTGGGCTTTCTTAAAACAGGAATCTGTGAGATTGTATATATAAAGCTCTTTAGAGTTTGAATGAGTTATTCCTTTATAATTATAGTTTACCTGTGTGGTACATAGTTTGATTCACTACATCTTAGAAGGTAATTGAATCTATCGATTATCAAGGAGGAGTATAGCTGAAAAAATTTCACTAGCATGGCTTAAAAAAAGTAAAGAGAATCTGTATGCTATTATTCAAGGCTTGGTATTTTTCAAGACTTTTAAGTTTCATAATGATTTCCTGGCAGTTCACCCTGAATCTCTAGTTTTCGTTTAGGCAACTTCATTCACTGTTTTCAAAGTATCTCCCCAGCTTTCATATTTATTTGTAGAAATATAATAAAACAATGTGAGTGAAAGTTATTGAACAATTTATCTTTCACCCATGGACATTCTACTTTTGGACACCCAGCCCACAGGTCTCCCATGTCCCCTGCAGAGTCTGCTGTGGCTTTTGTGTTCTGCTTGATGGCCATTATGTTCTCTTTTGAAGTGGCTAGTAAGTCATCGCCACCTTGTGACTTCACTCAAACTTTGTGGTTTGCTCTTGGCTCTGAGGTTCACTACTATTTTAATGATTTTGCACTTGTTACCTCATAATGCGGATCACTCCTGCTCCGTGCTTCTGTTGCTGTCATTGCTTCTCTAGCTGAAATCTAGGCCCCTCTCTCCCGAACAATTTGATAACTCATTTTTCATGGTCTTCAGATGGCATATCAAACATACACTCTTCTTTTTATACACAGCTCTAGTGTGACAGCTATAATCTTTCATGTCACTATGCCAAACAATGTTTCCTTCCAATCCCCAGTTTTGCATGGAACTACATGACTATGGCTCTACAGCTCTTGCAGGGGTTGGTTGTATGTTCTCTGCTTCCCTTCTTACTCTTATCACTCTAGCTTTGCTTTCTTCTTTTGCCCAATATGTATAGCTGTCTTATTCTAGTGACCCTAGCTACATAATTTTAACTATTTTAAAATTTAATTCTACTTAAAACTTCAATGCATTCATAGCAGTAAGAGCTCTAACTTATCTCTCTCTGCCACCTTATCAGAATTGAAAATCTCTGAAGATTTTTTTTTGGGAACTATAATTTTGCCCACTGAAAGAAAGTCTCAAGCATGGTGTTGGAAGGAAACTTAAAATCTATCTATCATCTATCTATCTATCTATCTATCTATCTATCTATCTATCTATATCTATGACATATATTTAAAACAATACTAAAAGAGAAAAGAAAGAAGATCTAAATTTCCTTTCTGCCTACTACATCAACAGGAAGCCAAAGAAATAAAATCAGTATTCTTTCCTGAGTCTGCTTTTTTTGATAACTGAGTCATCCTTTCCATACTTTGCAAATAAAATTTGAAAGATTATATGCTTTGCCCTTTGAACTAATGTATTTCACCACTTGAGCATATGATGCATTCTGTTGATTGATCATATTGTAGGTGGCAACTGAATACAGCATCTGATATGTGTAGCCTATCTGCCAACACACACACACACACACACACACACACACACACACACACACACACACACATTGAGAAATAAATCATCAGAAATATTTCTGTGTTCTGGTCAAAATTATCATTTGCAAGTAAGAGAAAACAACTCAATATAGCTCAGGAAAAAAAATATTTTATTTCAGGGTTAAAAACAAGTCCGATGCAAATTTAGCAAGCAGATTATGCAAATTCAGCAGGCAGATTTGGGGAAGAGGGAGCTGGAATGATGTACATGTGAATCATCTCAGTTGCTTTCTTTTCCTGTCTGCTCTTCTTCTGCTGACTCATCTGTTCCATTATCATCAGTCTCACAACTAGTTCCCTTACATCCTTAGTGCACATGTAGCACCATCACATCATCCCATCATCACATCATTGAACATGATTTGACATCAACTTTCAACTTATGTTCAACACTGATTACAGTATCCCCTTTTCCTTTGAAATGTAAAGTATACAGATCACACATCTTTAATCAAGTAAGATGTACACAAGTGCATTAAGTAAATAAAAATTATTTCTGGTGACAAATAGGTGAATAAAATCAGAATGAAAATAAATATTGCCATTTACATATATTAAGTAATTGTGCCAGGCATGTATTATAAATTTGGAAATTAGCTGTTACTACTTCCATTTTATGTATAGGAAACCAAAACATAGACAAGTTAAGTAACTTGCTCAAGGTTACACAACTCATAAGAATAGGTCCCAACTAGCCCAAGGGTCATCAGACTCCACGCAGTGTGACATCAATGCCCATATTCCAAACACTGCCTACTGTATTGCTATTCTGTAGCAATACAGCTAAAGCAAGACAATGTTAATAAAAAAGTGAACACTTACAGGTGAAATAGTAGAAGAAGAAAAGCCATATGAGACAAAGACTAATCATGCCTGGCAGATAATTTAAGGGGGAAAACCATTTCCTAAGTAGAAATGTATGCATGTTTATGTAAATGCTAGACCTACCTGGTAGCAGTAAATTTATTTTGGATATGAAAGCATCAGGACATCATTTTCATTTTATTTAGCATTTAATCCCCTTCTCTTCTAACTTCAGCTCTTCTTACTCTATTCTCACTGAGAAAACTTTTTATAACTTGGCTTCCCATGTAATTCACCTACAAGGAAAAGATATATATTTTAAGCCAACACAAATGATTAATATGTCCAAGAATATTTCTTACTATAGTTATGAAATTGGCATCCTGAATTAAATAATTTAGGCTCATATTGCCAATGAGTTTCCTAAATCTGATACATGTTATGATACTGAGAAAATAGACTTTTTGGCAAAGTAGAAATTGAATTGGAATTACATAAGATAATAATTGCATTTTAAGAATGTCATGGGATAAATGTGCAGGCTTTCGTGACAATAGCTCTAGCTTAGCAACCAAAGGAAAAGCATTACGAAAGTATTTAGTGTGGGCCTGCATATTGTCTTTGTGGCAGTGAAGCACTCTTATTACTGTGCAGCCTCTCAGAGCAAGGAAAGGGGAAAAGTGAAGATAAAAATAGAGAGAGGTTCAAAAATTTACACTTGCCAAATTATGACCTGAACCTAGGGAGTCTTGTATATTTATAGGGGTTTGTGTGTGTGTGTGTGTGTGTGTGTGTCTGTCTGTCTGTCTGTCTCTCTGTCTTATGAGAGAAAGGGTAGAAGTGTCTGCTTTCTATCATCCTAAACCCTTATTATGACAATAGGAATGTTAGTATTTTGTCTGCAATAATTTGTGTGGGGGGATTGTGGTGATGCTGGTATTGCAACATTTAGAGCACCTAATTTACTCTCTTCTTTACCTTGTTGCTCTTCTTATGGTGAGCGTGTGAAATTAGTTCAATTTGACCTAAGGCTGCTCCATATGTTGAGTCCCCATATAGTGAACTGCAACATAACTTTGTACGTAAACCAACCAAAAGCAACCTTGAGTATAACAAATAGCTGATTTTTCAGCCAATCACAACCAGACAAGTTTCAGCCAGTTATAGGCAGCCAAGTCATCACATTATGCCCAAATAAGGCAGATGCCTTATCACACTATGCCCAAATAGGTAATTTCTGTACTTTGATTATTTTCGTCTGGCCTCTGAAACTCAATACTCATGCTGTTGGGGTGGAGCTCTCTACAACTCCAGTGGTTCAGGGTGCTGCCCAATTCATGAATTATTATTTCCTTAAATAAATTCTACTATATTTAATTTGACTGAAGTTTTTCTTTTTAATGGTTTAGTATCAAAAGAGGGATTCAAAGAAGACCTCTGGTGACCCCAGGAGCACTGAGTGACCAAGCAAAGGTGATTCCCAGGATCGACTGTGCCTATTGTTCTCTTGGAGCAACTAGAGGTTGTCAGTGAGTTCCCTGTAAGATTTGAACTCTACAAATTTGTGTTTTGAATTATTGAAGTTTATTTCAGCAATCATTTTAATGAACTGGGTCCAATATTGGATTGGACCTGATAACTAGCTGAAATGGATCCAGTTAGAAACCTCAGATAGGTAACTGAAAATAAGTTTCTTTAAATCTAAGTTTAGGATACCAGGAGCCTGTGACTTTATTTTCTAGGGTAACAGCTAATTTGAGATACAAAAATTTATGATCCCAGAACCTGTGTGGTTTTGTAAAAATGGATTAACACCTTACTAAGGGCAACTTGGGATTACAGTGTCCAGAGTGTGGAACTTAAAAAAAATTATTCATTCGTAAGTCACATTAGAAAAGAAAGAATCTAAAATGTCAAAAAAGCAATGAGATACATTCTCTAATTGATGTTCAAAGACATCTAAAATATTTAAAAAATCAAAGATTGACCCTTAAGCATATAGGTTTTTTTTTTTTTTTTTTTTTTTTTTTTGAGATGGAGTCTTACTCTGTCACCTGGGATGGAGTGCAGTGGCATGATCTCGGCTCACTGCAACCTGTGCCTCCCGGGTTCAAGTGATTTTTCTGCCTCAGCCCCCCGAGTAGCTGGGACTACAAACCCCCGCCACCAGGCTCCGCTAATTTTTGTATTTTTAGTACAGACAGGGTTTCACCATATTGGCCAGGCTGGTCCCAAACTCCTAACCTTGTGATCCACCCACCTTGGCCTCCCAAAGTGCTGGGATTACAGGCATGAGCCACTGTGCCCGCCCAAGAATATATATTTTTGAAATCTTAAAAATATTTTCCACAAACAGTAGTCAAAAGCTTTAACCATCAAGGTAAGTAATCTTGCTTCATTGGCATGGCCAGAAAAAAAAAATTAGCTCTAGATATTCTTTAATGCATTAGTGAGCTTTGTGTCATTATGCCTGTCACATGGCTAAAATATTTAAATAAAATCTATAAGATCTGTTTGAGTTTGTATGTTTACATATGTCTGTATTATGTTATGTGTATGTGATATTTCCCTATACTACTCATGGTATTGCCAAAATTAAATTGTAAAATTTTTTATTTAATAGGCTTAAAGAAAAAGAAACACTTATGTAAAATATTTTTTACACACTTAGAAAGATAGAAAGTAACCTATAATGTTTTTCAGGTTCATGTTATCTGGCATAAATTTCAGTAAATATAAGCTAGTAAAAGTGTGCTAGCTTGATTAAAACAGGAATGCCTTCAGAGTTGTTGGCATTAAATATAATACACATGTACAATTTTCTAGGTTTATTAGTAAAATAATTTTATATTACCTTTACATTTTAAAATTTGTCAGTAAGAAAAAATAACTCCAACTGATGGAAAGCTAGCTGTTTAATATTTCACCATCTCGAGGATTCCAAGTATAATTCTTAAAAACAAGTGAACTAAATAGATGCATGTAAGATAAAATTCCTATTTGAAAGACGTCCTTCTTATACCAGAAGGTTTTAATATTCTTATTATGAAGAATGGAAAGTTCTGCATAATAAGTCTGAGTAAATAAAAATTTAATTCTCACTTCTTGCCAAAAAAACTACGAGGATAGAGATAAAATTTTTCCTCCTATACAGTTTCTTATTACAGATAAATTAAAGATAGGTGGGACTATTAGTAAACATAGTTTGTGCCACACTGAAAAATTATATTATGAAAAAGCACATGCTCCTAGAAATTATAATTCATAGATTTGAAAGTCTACTCTGTAGATGCTAGTGTGACATATAGTTTACAATTGCTTGCTTCCTAGTGTTTGCTAGAAATTAAGGTCATTAAAGACTAAGAATTCTAATGAATATATGTAAATAATGTTGTTAGAAATGAAAAGGGAAACAACTTTATATGCAAGTATATGAGAAAAGCAAGATGTGCTTTTGGCAAGCAAAGCTATAAGGTATGGGAAAGTGTTTGGTTGTGTTAAGGAAAAAAAAGTAATTTTTATCGTGAAGTACAACTGGTTGTTCCAATGAAAAAGAAAAAGTATAAGACTAAACTGAATAGACATAAGCAAGTTGTAGAAAATTTGTAGAACATGAATTTTGGAAAATAAATTTTATATGTGAACAAGCTAAGATTAGAAGAGAACTATTCATAAGTCTTTTCTAAAATTGAGCATTAATATCAAAACTACACTAATATAAAAATAGAATTTGATTCTCTCTGTGAAAAAACACAATTTTATTGGAATATTAGTCTGCTTTAAATATAAAATTGTAAAAGGTTATATTATTACTTTTTTAGGTAATTGGCCTAGAAAAATTCAATATTTATCAAGATGATCTGCTATACTTCATGTTATCTTTTTTTCTTTTTCTTTTTCTTTTACTTTAAGTTCCGGGATATATGTGCAGAATGTGCAGGTTTGTTACATAGGTATACATGTGCCATAGTGGTTTGCTGCACCTATCAACCCAACATCTAGGTTTTAAGCCCTGCATGCATGAGGTGTTTGTCCTGATGCTATCCCTCCCCTTGCCCCCTACGCCCCAGAAGACCCCGGTGTGCAAAGTTCCCCTACCTGTGTCCATGTGTTCTCATTGTTCAACTCCCACTTATGAATGAGAACATACAGTGTTTGGTTTTCTGTTCCTGTGTCAGTTTGCTGAGAATGATGGTTTCCAGCTTCATCCATGTCCCTGCAAAGGACATTAACTCATTCTTTTTTACGGCTGCAGCTTCATGTTATCTTTTTCAGGCTTCTGATTACTTAAGAAAACTGAGCCTTGTCTATTAAAAGATCAAGATTTTTCTACAACCATGTAAATTTTCATATTTGCCTTTGAAGTCTTTAACTCTTACTCTTGTTAACTGAATGATTATTTTTCAGAGTAAACTGTGATTCTATTTTAATCAAGTCCTTTAAATCTTTTGACATTTTTGACTTTCCAAAATCAAATACTCAATTAACATCTTTGACTTTGAACTAACTTTGGGAGGTTCCAGTGGGCCACTGGAATACCACAAAAGTTTCTTCTCTCTTTCAGAGAGTTGACAAAGTAGGCTTATTTAGCACGTTAAATTGCATGGAAAGCATTGTGAAATAATAATTGATACTGAACCTGTATTGAGTTATTGTATAGATATGTTATTAATATGTGCTTCATAAATTGGATGAAATTAGAAATCTGAAAGTTTTGGTATAATGCTACCAGTGACAATCATAATTATTATCTTAGAATATTGTATGTTACAGAAACAATTGAATTTCCTTGCCCATTGTGTTTTAGTAAACTCTCATCAGATCTTTAACCATGGAAATTTTAAATATTGTCATTCACAGAGAGCTAATTACTTTATTCTGGTACTTTCCTGAAAGTTTTTGCAAGTAACTATAAACCTAAAAGTGTTTCATCTCTGAGAAGACTCTATAAAAGTCTCTAACAAGTGTACTTACTTGTTACCTTACTTACTGATAATTGGTCAAGGTAAGAATTTCCAGAACTTTAATGAAAAAATGAATTCGTTTATAAAACTGTCAACATCAAGCAAAACAAGAATTCATTAAATACCAAGAACATGCTTTGCCATGGTTTTATGCCAAGTAAGCTGGAATTGAAACTGTTAAGATATGCAAGTTAAATAAACTCTGTAAGATTAACCCAAGTTAATTTACTTATGATAACCTAGTCAATAAACAGTGTTTTGCACCTGAATTGGAGAACAAACCTGTCATTTCAAAGAATGTAAATTCAATGTTAAGCATGGACTCATGGAGAATCTGGATGGCTGCCTGGTCCTTCCCAAGTTCTTTAATATCATTAAAATTTTTACAGACTCTGACTCATTATGGAAGAGATAAAATGACTCAAATTATTAAAAAAATTGGTAAAGTTACTGTTTAAAATGGATAAAATAATTTATAACCAATGTTTGGTTTGTCAAACTCATAATCCTAGTAAGACAATAAAAACCTCAAGTGGTATGTTTCTGGTGCATCGTGGATTATTTGGACACTTACAGATGTATTTCATTCTATTTCCACTTTCAGTGCTGGTTTTCTGGTTATGTAGAAGCTTTCCCATACAGAAAGACTGATGCTATAACAGTAAATAAAAGGTCATTAGAAAATATGTTGATAGTTAACATTTCTTGCTGTAGTTGGATAATATGTTTGATGTGATCGAAACTCAATTGTAAGAAAGGAACAAACAAGATACTTGCTTAAAACAAATAGACTCCTCTTCTCACTCATTTTTTTGACATATTTTAATTGATTTGGTTCATGAGAGCTCCTATGAAGAAGTACACTTTAACCTCTTGGTATTATCTTCCTGATAGCCATCACAATAGTCTCCCTGACAGGCCATATTCTCTCACAAGTCATAAGTGCTAATATGCAGCCATCTGTTGTGTGTCAAATGGTCTCACTGCATTTAAAATAAGAAAAACATAAGGAGAACATAAAGAATCATTCAACTACCCCAATGTCATTAATTGTGAATTTCATACTGAGAACAAACAAGTCCATTCTGATGGTGACAGAGAGTGATGCCAATGCCCAAATTTTTGGTTATTCTCCTAAAATTGAGAGGCTGATCAAAAGGGAAGAATTGTCATTTAAACTTACCTGGAGCCTGCCTCTGTACCTTAAGTCCCTACATAGTGAACTGAAACCTACCTTAGTATATAAACAAATCAAAAGTAACATTAGGATTATAAAAAACAGTCAAGTTATAGCCAATCACAATCAGCCAGGCTGCAGTCAATCACAGGCATCTAACTCATCACACCATGCCCAAATAAGGCAGATGCCTTATTTGTTGTAGCCAATCAGGTGATTTCTCTACTTTGCTTTGGTTTCAATCTATGCAAACTTGCTGCTCACACTGCTGCGTAGAGCTTTCTGCACCTCTACGTGTTCAGGGTGCTACCTGATTCATGAATTCTTTTGTGCTCAAATGAACTCTGCTAAATTTAATTTCTCTATTATTCTTCTTTTAACAGTTTCAAATCCCTAAGCTAGATAACATAGAAGTAAGTTTGTAGAGTTTTTCCTTAGAAGGGATTTTAAAAATGGAATTGCAATTCTGGAAAGGTGAAACTAGAGATACAGTGAAATGATCAGTGATTGCTAACGGTTTAGGGGAGACAGGGATAAAGGCTAAGCACAAGAGACTTTAGGGCTGTGAAAGCATTCTGTGTGATACTTTAATGGTGGATACGTGTCATTATACATTTGTCCAAATCCAAAGAATGCACAACACCAAAACTGCACTCTAATATAAACTATAAACTTTGGTTGAGAATGATGTGCCAGTATAGGTTCATCAATTGCAACAAATATACCTCTCTGTCAGGAGATTGTGATAGTAGGGAGCGTATGCCTACATGGGGGAAAGGTGTATATGGGAACACTGTATTTTCCAATCAAGTTTGCTGTGAACATAAAACTGCTCTGAAAATAACATATATATTTAAAAAATGAAATAGCAAATAAATATTCCTTGAAATAATTTACAGTTGCAATAGTGTTTTATTTCAGCTTTTTATTTTAAAAATGAGAAAACTATAAAGTCCAGAGAAGTTAAAAAAAATTCCAATTTACCATTATTAAATTATTAACAATAGAGAGGTGAAGCAAGATGGCAGAATAAAGGGTTCCATCCATTGTTCCCCCAGCAAGGACACCAATTTAACAACTATCTAACCAGAAAAAAACACCATTAAAACCAAAAATCAACTGAGCACTTATAGTACCTAGTTTAAACTTTATATTGCTTAAAGAGGCACCAAAGAAATTAAAAAAACAGTCTTGAATTGCCATCACCACACCTCCCCACACCTAGCAGCAGCATCATGGTGTGGAGAGCATCTCTGGGCACTGCAGGAGGGAGAACACAGCAATTGTGAGGCATTAAGCTCAGTGCTATCTTGCTAGAGCACATAGGAAAACCGGCCCAAACTCAGCTGATGACCACCCACGGAGGGAGCATTTCAACCAGCCATAGCCAGGGAGGAATTGCTGATCCCAGCAGTCAGAACTTGAGTTCCCAGAAACCTCAACACCAAGAGCTACAGTGCTATGTGTCTCCAAATGAAATGGAAAGGCAGTGTAGACTACATAGACTGCAACTCTTGGGTGAGTCCTAGTGCTGAACTAGAACCTGAGACAGTGGACTAGGGGATGAAGGTGGGGTGTGTAACATACTGAGACACCAGCTAGGGCAGCTAAGGAAGGGCTGGCATTACCCCTTTCTTAACCTCAGGCTACACAGCTCATGGCTCCAAAAGAGACCCTTTCCTTCTGCTTCAGGATAGGACAGTAAAGAAAGGGGAGGACTTTCTCTTGCATCTTGGATACCAGCCCAGACAGAGCAAGATAGGGCACCAATCAGAGTCACAAAGTCCCAATTCTAGGCTCTTGTTCCCAAAAGACATTTCTAGACATACCCTGGGCCAGAAGGGAATTTGCTGCCTTGAAGGAAAAGACCCAGTCATGACAACATTCATCGCCTGCTAACTGAAGAGCCCTTGGGCCTTGAGTAATCAGCAGTGATACCCAGGTCCTACATCAAGGGCCTTGGATGAGCCTCTGACACTTGCTGGCTTCAGGTGAGACTCAGCATATTACTAGCTGTGGTGACTATGGGGCAAAACTCCTTCTGCTTGAGAAAAGCAGAGGGAAAAGTAAAGGAGACTTTGTCTTGCACCTTGGGTACCAGCATGCCCACAGTGGGGTAGAACAGTAAGCAGGCTCTTAGAGTCCCTGATTCCAGGACTTGACTCTTGAATAGGATTTCTAATCCTGGCCTGGGCTAGAGGGGAACCCATTGCCCTGAAGTCCCAGGCCAGGTAGCATTCCCAACGAGCTGACTTAAGAGCCCTTGGGCCTTAAGGGAACTTCAGGTGTTGTCTGGCAGTACTCCTTATGGCCTGGGTTGGCAATGGCTATGAAGTGAGGCTCCTTTGTCTTTGAAAGGGGAGGGAAGACTGAGAAAAACTGTATATTGTGGTTTGAGTGTCGGCTAAGCTGCAGTACAATAGAACACCACATCAAATTCTAAGGTTTTAAACTCTAGTCCTTCACTCCTGGATGACGCCTTTGGACACGTTAGGGCCTGGGGAAACTTGACACCCTGAAGGGAAGGACATAGGCCTGGGTGGCTTCACCACTGGCTGATTTTAGAACCATAGGGCCTTGAGCAAACATAAGCAGTAGCCAGGGACTGCTTATGGCAGGCCTTGGGCTACACCTAGCGTTGTACCTACTTTAGGTCTGAACCAGCACAGTCATAGTGGTGGGTGGTGGGCACAGAGGTCCTTGAGTCACTCCATTCACAGCTTTAGGTAGCTTAGAACAGATGGAGAGACTCTGGTTTTTTTTTGTTTTTGTTTGTTTGTTTGTTTTTGAGATGGAGTCTCACTGTGTCGCCCAGGCTGTAGTGCAATGGCACGATCTCAGCTCACTGCAACCTCTGCCCCCCAAGATCAAGCAATTCTTGTGATTCAGCCTCCTGAGTAGCTGGGATTACAGGTGCCCACCACTATGCCCAGCTAATTTTTGTATTTTTAGTAGAGACGGGGCTTCACCATGTTGGGCAGGCTGGTCTAGAACTCCTGACCTCAGGTGATCCATCTGCCTCGGCCTCCCAAATTGCTAGGATTACAAGCATGAGCCACCACACCTGGCCAAGACTGTTTTGTGGGGAGACAGTGAGAGAAGAGAATAAGAGTCTCTGCTGGATAATCCAGAGAATTCTCAAGGATCTTGTCCAAGACCATCAAGGCGGTATCTCTATGAGTCTACAAAAACCACAGCATTACTGGGCTTGGGGTGACCCCTAAAGGAGATATATCTTAGATCACAACACCCAAGTCCTTTCAAATATCTGGAAAGCCTTTCCAAGAAGGATGGGTACAAATAAGACCAGACAGTGAAGACTACAATAAATATCTAAGTCTTCCATACTCAGATGATGAAGAATATGTACTACCATCAACACCAGGAAAAAATGACCTCACCAATTGAACTGAATAAGGCACCAGGGACCATTTCTAGAGAAACAGAGATATGTGACCTTTCAGATAGAGCATTCAAAATAGCTGTGTTGAGGAAACAAATAAATTCAAGGTAACACAGAGAAGGAATTCAGAATTCTATTAGATAAATTTAACAAAGAGATTGAAATAATTAAAAAGTATCAGGCAGCAATTCTGGAGCTGAAAAAATGCAATTGGCATACTGAAGAATGCAACAGAGTCCTTTAACAAAGAATTAATCAAGCAGAAGAAAGAATTAGTGAGCTTGAAGACAGGCTGTTTGAAAATATAGTGTCAGAGGAGACAAAAAAAAAAGATAAAAAACAATGAAGCACACCTACATTATCTAGAAGATAGATTCAAAAGGGTAAATCTAAGAGTTATTGGCCTTAAAAAGGAGGCAGCAAAATAGATAGCGGTAGAAAGTTTATTCAAAGGGATAACAGAGAACTTCTGAAACCTACAAAAAGTTATCAATATCCAAGCAGAAGAAGGTAACAGAACAATAAGCAGATTTAACCAAAAGAGGACTGCCTCAAACCACTTAAAAATTAAACTCCCAAAGATCAAGGATAAAGAATTTTAAAGGCAGCAAGAGAAAACAAATAACATACAACAGTGTGTCAATACATCTGGTAGCAGACTTTGCAGTGGAAACCTTACAGGTCAAGAGAGAGTGGCATGGTATATTTAAAATGCTTAAGGAAAAAATGTTTATTCTAGAATAGTATATCTGGCAAAAATATCTTTCAAACATGAAAGAGAATTAAAGTCTTTCCTAGATAAACAAAAACTGTGATTTCATAAACACCAGACTTGTCCTACAGGAAATGCTAAAGAGAACACTTCATCAGAAAGAAAAAGACATTAATGAGCAGTAAGTAATCACCTGAAGGTATAAAATTCATGGGTAACAGTAAATACATGGAAAAACACAGAATATCATAACACTGTAACTGTTGTGTTTAAGTTCCTCAACCTAAGTAGAAAGACTAAATGATGAACCAATCAAAAATAATAACTCCAACTGTACTTTTTAAGACACAGACAGTACAATAACACACAAATAGAAACAGCAAACAGTTAAAAAGCAGGGGACAGAGTTAAGGCATGGAGTTTTTATTAGTATTTGGGTTTTGGCATGTCTATTTATGCAAACACTATTAAGTGGTTATCAGGTTAAAATAATGGGTTATAATATTTGCAAGCCTCATGCTAATCTGAAGCCAAAAAGTATACAACGGAGACACAAAAAAATAAAAAGCAGGAAATTAATCATATCACCATAGAAAATCACCTTCTCTGAAGGAAGATAGGAAGGAAAGAAAAGGACAAGAAGACCACAAAACTATCAGAAAACAATATTACAGGAGTTAAGTCCTTACTTGTCAATAATAATATTGAACATAAGTGAACTAAACTTTCTAATCCAAAGACATAGACTGGATAGAATGGAAGAAAGTACACGACCCATTGATCTCCTGCCTGCAAGAAACACATGTCAGCTATAAATACACATTTAGATTAAAAATAAAGGAATGAAAAAATATATTCCATGACAATGGAAACCAAAACAAGAATGGGAGTAGCTATACTTATATGAGACAAAATAGATTTCAAGAAAAAAACAGTAAGAAGAGACGAGTAATGTCACTATACAATAATAATGGTGTCAATTCAGCAAGGGGGCATAACAATTTTAAATATCTATGCACCCCAAACTGGAGCACGTAGATATATAAAGAAAATATTATTAGAGCTAAAGAGAGAGAGTCAGGTCCCAATACAATAATAGCTGGAGACTTCAACACCTCACTTCCAGCATTGGACAGATCTTCCCAGACAGAAAATCAAAAAGAAACATCAGACTCAATCTGCACTATAGACCAAATGGTTCTAATAGATATTTACAGAACATTTTATCCAGTGGAGGCAGAATACACATTCTTTACATAAGCACATGGATCATTCTCAAGGATAGGCCATATATTAGGTCACAAAACAAGTCTTAAAAAAATCAAAATACTGTCAAGCATTTTCTCTGACCACAGTGGAATAAAACAAGAAATTAATAACAGGAATTTTACAAGCTATAAAAATACATGGAAATTAATGATATACTCCTGAATTACCAGTGAGTCAATGAAAAAATTAAGGAGAAAATTGAAAAATTTCTTGAGACAAATGAACCCCTGTTTCTTGGGTTCAAGCGATTCTCCTACCTCAGTCTCCTGTGTAGCTGGGATTACAGCCACACGCCATGTTACCCAGCTAATTTTTGTATTTTTAGTAGAGACGGAGTTTCACCGTGTTGGCCAGGCTTGTCTCGAACTCCTGACCTCAGGTGATCCGACCACCTCGGCCTCCCAAAGTGCTGGGATTACAGGCATGAGCCACCGCGCCTGGCCAAGGGTTCAACTTTTAACATTTTTGTTGTCATAGAGCAAGAATTCTAAGATAATGTTGTCCCCTAATTAAATCCTGAAGCTAGAATAATAAGATAAATTTCCTAAAGGAAGAAGTGTACCATGGACATGGCACTAGATAACTTTTTAGACATATAACAGGCAATTAAATTTGTATCCAGCTCTAGTAAAAAGGAATCTTTCTCTTCATTTTTCATGTAAGGGAACAGAAGCAAAAATGATACTCATTCACCTTTCCATACATAAGAAACTTCCCCTTTATGGGAAAAGAGAAAGTTTAACTTTTATGTAAAATATGCAGCTTTCTCATTGCATTACGTTACATAATTTCCTATAAATTCCTTTATTTTCATATTATTTGTTTGTGGGCAGAGAGAAATAGAATGTAGATTAAGTCAAAGGAGAAGTCCTTAACTGTTAGCAGTGCAATGGAAATATAAAGAATATATTTATATTCTTAAATATAAAGAATAATTCTAGCTTCAGAGTTCCATCTCTGTACTGTATTTTCATTTTGTATTTTTCTGTTCTCTCAATTAAATGGATAGTTGCATAATAAATACATCTGAGAAATGAAAGTACCATGAGAATGACTGAGGTCAGTGGCTTCAGGCAAATTTTACAATGGAAGGGATGCTTAAAATTAGGGACTTTTTAAATTTATTTTTATATCTTGCAAAGATTCAACACTTTGTTTTGGGTATCTTAAATTACAGGCATGAAGGAAGCTTTAATACAGTAATCATAGACTTCAAAATCTAAGGTTAAATAAAATGTCTGTGATTCCCTCACTGCAAACTGGCACTGAGCTCCTTTACTCAGTGTTGGAGAATTTTTCATCAAAAAAGAAACATTCAAAATTGAAAATCTCTAAACGAGTAAATCGTTTTTTTTTTTCCATAGGATGTAGTAATTTTAGCAAATTGAGGTGAAAAATGATGGAAATGTCATTCAATCTCATTTCATGATTTTATGAACTAAACTTCTTAAACTATTTAGAAGCTGTCCAAGCACTTCTATGAGGGGACATATGTTCCTTATTGCTTTTTTTAAATTGCTAACTGTAGGCCCAAGGCCTTCACATTACTTGTCAGCTCTCTGGCTGCATGAGGCAACATGATGTAAGGAAAGCATATTTGAGTTTCAGCAATCATTCCCATACATCAGCATACATCAGAATCACTTGAAGGATTTGTTAAAACACAGAGTGCTGTGTCCTACCTGCACAGTTTCAATTTATTCTATATATCTGGGGTGAGGCCTGAGACTATACATTTTTAAGTTCTCAGGGGATGCTGATGTTGCTGGTCAATGGACAATAATTTGGAGACCGCTAAGTTAATGTGTTCCTGTCCTAACCAAGGCCCAGAAATTTTTTAACATTTGAAAATTTCATTACAATTTCTGAGACTAAGGTTCCTCAGTTGTAGAATAAGGCTACACAATGCTACCAGGGTTTGTTTCTAACATTCTCTAAATCTATTGTTTTAGGTATTTGAGCTAATGTATTTATTTTCATTACAAATAAAATAATGCCTAGGTGATACATTTGGTTACAATGCAAAATGTAGATAAATTCAATTTGTCTATTTAAAATTTAGAATTATTTTATGTGGTGAAGTTCTTTAAAGGACAAAAAGGATTGTGTAATTTTCCTCAATATGCCAAAACTTTGTTTTAGATAACTCAGATTCAAAAAAGAAAAATATTGAAGATATATTAACTTACAAAAGTGGAAATGGAAATGGAAAATGAATGAAGGTATTTTATGTTTAATTTGTAATCCATTATTTAACTTATTTTTTGAAAGAGTGAACAAGTTTTCCATTACAAAGCAAGTCATTGTACAAAGGGCATGTACTCTAGGTCAACAGATATGTGTTGCAAAATAAGTCATGCCATTTCTTAACTATGAATAAGTAATATTAGGAGTCAAAAACTGTATGGAACAATGAAATTAAAAGATAAAAATACAAAATATAAACTTTATTTATCAACAAAATCTCCATCAAGTGTAAGCCACTTTTGTAAGCACTGATACCAGCCATTTAGTCCATCCCTAAAGAACTAAGAATTCTGGGAATTTAACCGTATCAATGCAGTCCTTTTTATATTGTTGAGTGAAGATAAATGAGTGCCTTTAAGGATTTTCTACGATTTGGAAACAAACCCCAAAAAAGGAGAAGGACGAAAATCAGTATTATAGGTGGATGCCTACTAATTCCTCATTAAAACTCTCTCTAAATTGCTCTTGCTTAATGAGAGGAATGAGCAGGAGCATTGTCATAGTGCAGAAGAAGTCTCTGGTGAAGTTTTCCCAGGCATTTTTCTTTGGCTATGTTTCTCAAAACACTGATATAATAAGCATGTTATTGTCATTGGCTCTCCAGAAAGTCAATAACCAAAATGCCTTGAGCACCCCAAAGAACTGTTGCCATGACCTTTGTTCCTGACCAGTTCACTTTTGCATTGACTTGGCCATTTCCACCTTTTGGTAGCCATTGCTTTGATTGTACTGGTAAAACTGGTAAAAATAACCTCATGTTATAACTTGTTCAAAAAATGCACTGGAATCTTGATCCTACTTGCTTAAAATTTCCATTGAAAATTCTGTTCTTGACTGCAGTTGCTCTGGATGCAACTTTTTTTTTTTTTTTTTTGAGACAGAGTCCCACTCTGTCACCCAAGCTGGAGTGCAGAGGTGCAATTTTGACTCACTGCAACCTCTGCCTCCCAGGTTCAAGCAATTCTTGTGCCTCAGCCTTCCAAGTAGCTGAGATTAGATTTGCGAGCCACCACACACAGCTAATTTTTGTATTTTCAGTAGAGACAGGGTATCGCCATGTTGGCCGGGCTGGTCTCAAATTCCTGGCCTCAAGTGATGCACCCACTCAGCCTCCCAAAGTGCCGGGATGACAGGCATGAGCCACCTCTCCTAGCTGGATGCAACAGCTTTGACACAAATTGAGAGGAAAGTTCACTCAACAATAATTTTTTAGTCAGAATTGTGTACATTAAAACAATTGAGATGTTTATGGTGTTGACTGCTGTTTGTGCTATTAATCATTGGTCCTCTTCAATAAGGGCACAGACATAATACATTTTTTTCCTTGTAAATTAATGTGAATGGTCTCCCACTGAAGATTTCATCCTTAACTTTGTCTTATCCCTTCTTAAAACCATTGATTTATCCATTTGTAAACTGCTGATTTCTTTCAGGTATTATCCCCATAAACGTTCATAAGGCATTAATTATTTCACCTAAAAGTGTACAAATAATTAAAAAGTAGTAAAACAGATCAATAGAAACAAATAACAGGAGGCACAAATAGCAAACCAGTTGCTAGAATAATAGATATTAAAAAAATGTCAAAAATCGCTTTAAATTTTCATGGTCTAAACTCCCAACTACATGCTACCTGTAAGAAATAAACACTAGATACCAAAATAAAAATTGATTACAAGCAAAAGGATGGAAAAAGTCATACTATACTAACAGTAATCAAAAGAAAGTTAGAAAAGCCTGGACATAATGGCATGCTTCTGTAGTCCCAGCTACTTCGGAGGCGAAAGCAGGACAATAATTTGAGGCCAGGAGTTTGAGGCCAGCCTGGGCAATATAGTAAGACCCTGTCTCTAAAAAAAGAAAATAAATAGAGAAAAATAGTTTTAAAGTTAGAATGTCTACGTTAATGCGAGACAAAGTATATTTTCAAGCAAAGAATATCACTGGAAATAAAACATGTCATTTCATAATGACAAAGAAGTCAATTCATTAAGAGGAAATAAAAATCCAAGACACTTTGGGAGGCCCAGGCAGGCGGATCACGAGGTCAGGAAATCGAGACCATCCTGGCTAACATGGTGAAACCCCGTCTCTACTAAAAGTACAAAAAAATTAGCTGGGCGTGGTGGCGGGCGCCTGTAGTCCCAGCTATTCTGGAGGCTGAGGCAGGAGAATGGCCTGAACTCGGGAGGCGGAGCTTGCAGTGAGCCGAGATCGCGCCACTGCACTCCAGCCTGGGAAACAGCGCAAGACCCTGTCTCAAAAAAAAAAAAAAAAAAGAAAAATTCCAAGACGCTTATGCATCTAATCACAGAGACTCAAAATACGTGAAGCAAATAATAATAGAACTAAAGAGAGAAATAAAAAATTTCAGTTATAATTAGTGGTTTCAATATAGCATTATCAATAATGAATGAAACACATAGCTGTTTTAACTTAAAAACTCTCAACAACTTAACCTAAGTTGAATTTTTAAATCGTTCCAACCAATAAAAGCAGAATACATTTGCAACAGAACAGAAAATATTTATCTAGATAAACCATATTTTGGACAATAAAATATGTCTTAACAAATTTGAAAAACTGTCAGTATGTTCTCTGATAATAATGGAATTCAGTAAATATCAATAAAAGAAATACTTAAAATGTGCATACCTGGGTGGAAAAATTCAAATACTTGAAAGCTAAATGGTGCATTGATAAATAACTCATGAGTCAATAAAGATGAAAAGGAAATTAGAAAATATTTGAAAATGAATAAAAATGAAATACAGCATATAAAAATGTGTAATGCAGCTAAACAGTACTTAGAGAAAATTATATACCATTAAATGCCTTGATTAGAAAAAAAAGTCATAAATAAATGTCAGCTTCCATTTCAAGAAATTAGTGAAAGAAAAGCAAATAAAAACCAAATTTAGCAAAAGAAAGGAAATTATAAATAACATGGGTGAAATAAATAAAACAAAATCAAAAAAGAGAAAAATAAATAAAACAGAGTCATTAAGAAGATTAATAAATCCAATAAACCTCTATCCAGAATATGCAGGCACAAAAGAGAAAAATATTCCAAATTCTCTATATTAAAAATATGAGAACTTTCATCATTACAGATTCTACAAATAGTGAAAAAATGAGAAATATTATGAATATCTTTATAATAAATTTAAATATTTAAAAGAAATGGACTTATTATTTGAAAACCTATAAACTACCAAAACTCACTCAAAAACAAAAAACAAAAAACAAAAAACAGTTAAACTCCAGCAACCCAAAGTCTATTAAATAAATTAAATTTGTACTTAAAACCTTCTCCTAAATAGAACTCCAGGTGGTGTCAATAAGAAGTTCTACCAAACATTTAATATGAAAATATTAATACATTATGACCAAGTGGAGTTTTTCAGGAATACAGATTTGTCTACTATTTGAAAATCATTCAATATAATTTACCACATTAACTGAATAAAATATATTTATATATATATAAAATAATCTTGATAGATACAGGAAAAAAAAAGTTTTGAAAAAATCTAAAGCTGTTCCTAACAAAGTCACTCAGGAAATATAAAATAGAAAACATTTCCTTAACCTGATAATTAGCATTTATAATAAAACAACAGTTAAACATCCTACTCAATGGCTAAAAAATTGAATGCATTCTTCCTAAGATGAGGAACCAGGTAAGGATGTCCACTTTCATCACTCCTATTCAACATGGTACTGAAGGATTTTACTCAGGGTAATAAACACAAAAAAATGCATAAAATATATCCAGATCGAAACAGAAAAAGTAATATTGTTTTCATTTGCACATTAAGTCATCAAATATGTAGGAAATCCTATGATATTTATGGGAAAGTTACTAGAACAAATAAGTGAATTTAGTTAGGTTGTAGGACACAGGATTAGTGTGCAAAAAAATTGTATTTCTACATGTTAGAACCAATCAGAAACATCTTTAAAAGAACAACATTACAGTAGCACTAAAATATAAAATAGGGATAAATATAATAAATGATGACTTGTACACTCAGAAGTACAGAACATTGCTGAGAGAAATTTTAAAAGACCTAAATAAATAGGAAGTTACACCAGGTTCATGGATTGAAAGTCTGATCTTCTTTAAGATATCAATTTTCTACAAATTGATCTATAGAATCAATGCAAATCCCAATAAAAATCCCTACGAAATATTTGGAGAAATTGACCAGATGATTATTAAATTTATAGGGAAATATAGAGGACCAAGAATAGCTAAAGCAACTTTGAAAAAGAAAAAAGTTGAAAGATTTACACTATTTGCTTCAGGATTCATTATAAGCCTTTCATAATCAAGATAGTGTGTATTGACACAAACATAGAAAAATAGACCAATAAGTCTGTATATACATGCTCAATTTACTTTTGGCAAAGGTGCTAGGGCAATTCAAGGGAGAATGAATTCAACAAATGGTAGTGAAACCATTGGATATCCACATATATACTTTAGCTCTCACATGATGCACAAAAACTGATTCAAAACTTGTAATAGTTCTAAGTAAAACCTACAATTATATAAAATGTCTAGAAGAAAACATAGAAAAGGAATTCATAATCTTGGATTAGGCAGACATTTAAATACTAAAAGCAGAACTCATGAAAGAAAAATAAAAGAATATTTGTACCTCTTCAAAATGCAGTACTTTTGTTCTCTATCAATTATTATGAGAATGAAAAGTAGATCATAGATGAGGGAAAATATTTACAAATTATATTCTTTATAAAAGATTTATTTAGAATACATAAAATTTTACACACTTGATAATAAAAATAACAATCCAATATAATAATGTGCAAGAAATTTAAATAGGCACTTCACAAAAGATATGTGGTAGCAAATAAACACATAAAAATGCTCAATATAATTATTCATTTGGTGCTACCAAATTAAAACAACAATCATATACTACTACACACCTATATACTATTAAATTAGCTAAGCATAATAATGTTTTCTGGGTTCAAATATCACGTCTAAGGATTCTGAGGTTCTTGCTATAGTTGTTCCATTTTAATAATGTTTAAATATTTACATTAAAAAGGATGGATATGGAAGAATTAAAGATTTTCAGGCTGCTGACAAAAAAACAGACCTACATTTTTTTATACCCACGATGATAAACTAGTGAATGTTTCCTTTATTTTCTCTCCTTACCTAAATTTGTATTTTCCAATTTATCCCCATGTAACTCAGTCCTTTCCCTTTTAACACTTTGTCAATATTTCCAACAAAGAACAGCATAGTCTCTTAATGAATACATAAGGATGAAGAGAGCTGTTGGTGGGAACGTAAATTAGCACAGGCATTATGGAAAACAGCATGGAAGTTTCTCAAAAAACAAAACGAGATCCACCATATATTTCAGCATTTTCATTACTTGGCATATATCCAAAGGAAATAAAATCAATATGTTGAAGTGATATCTGCACACCCATGTTTATTGCAATGCTATTTAATATAGCCAAGATATAGAATCAACCTAGTGTCCATCATGGATGAATGAATAAAGAAAATGTGGCATATATACAAAAATGGAACAATATTAATCCATAAAACAGAATAAAATTATTTCATTTGCAGCAACATGAATGAAATCGGGGGACATTATGTTAAATAAAACAAGCCAGACACAGAAAGGCAAGCACCACATGACTTCACTCGTATGTGAAATCTAGAAAAGTTAATTTCATAGAAGTAGAGAGTAGAATAGTGGTTTACCAGAGACTGGGAAGGAGAGTAAGGAAGAGGGGAATCAAGAGAGGTTGGTCAATGACTACAAAGTTATACAGAAGGAATAAATTTTGGTGTTATATAACTCAGTAGGGCAACTATAGCAAATAGCAATGTAGTGTTATATATCAAGATAGCTAGAAAATAATATTGTGAGTGTTGTCACAACAAAGAAATGATAAATGTTTAAAGTGATGGATATAGTAATTACCCCAATTTGAACATTATTCTATGCACACATGCACTGAAAAATCACATTGTACACCATAATAAGGTACAATTATTATGTGTTGTGAATAAATAAAAGATAAATAAATAAAACTCCAGTCTATCACTTGGCACAGATAACAGATGAACATATTTCTTTTGCATATACTGGGTTTCCTCTAATGATAACTGAAGAGATGGAGTATATGAAAATAGAACAAAAGAGGAAACTGTAGCACAGCTTAAACTTTAAATATTAAATCTCTTTATTCATCCTACAACGTAGTTCCAGAAGGCAGTGAAATCAATCCCACATGGAATCTTCTCACAGGAAAACTTGAATAATGGACAATTTATTCAAATCACTGTCTATTTCAAGATACTCTATTTTAACATTATATATGACCATTCCTCCTAAAAATGCCTTTCTTAATTCTAACATTATTTCAAATATAGCTCTTTGAAAACCTATTTTTCCTTTTTTCTATATTATAAGCTTAAATATGAATAGTCTTCAAACTGGTCTTTGATACGTTATTATTTATATATGCATCCATCTATCCACTCACTCATTAAATAAAAATGTATCAAGTATTTACTCTTGGTTAAACGCTGGGCCAGGCTCTAGAGATATCTAATAAGCCAAACATAAATGGAAATACCATTTCTTCTCTGAAATCTTCCCTGACCATTCTAAGAAAAGTGATAATAATCTTCATTGTCTCCTCACAGCATTTATATGTATAACTCATCTGTATTTACAACATTCTACCATAAAGTGTATTTCTCCAAAAGTACTGTTAGTTCTGATTAATGTCAGAACCACACTGGGGATCACATTTCCTATATAAACCTTTCAAGCCCACAATCCCAATTTTTGTTCTTTTATTCATCAAAGTGAAAATTTCACTGGGCAAAAGCAAACAGTCAAGCAAGACTTTATGACTGTTGCAATAGAGGAGACAGACTGAACTTTCCTGAAATAAAAGGCAGGCAGGTTTTTCAGGGCTAGGGTCAGCTACTGGAAAAGTAGTGGAAGACATTGAGAAGAGATTAATCAATGGGCTACATTGAACACATTGAGTTATTTCTGAATTCTCAAATGCTTTTCTCTGTGATTAGGCCATCTAATTGGTTATTAAAGTTAGTGCCCTTTGAAGTTAGACAGCCTCCCACAGAGACTGGGAGATAGTAGTGCTATATCCTTCAATGTGTACATGTCAAAATAATGGTCTCCAGGTCTTTGAGAAAGAAATTTCTTTGCTTGTAATACTGGCAAGAGGCTGGGAGAAGTTTTACATGTATTTCAAAGGTAGGAAAAATATTTACAATAGAAAGTTTTCTAAAGTAAATGCAATTAAGAAAAGTGAGGTAAGGGATTCTATAGTCAGGAAGAAACCTGTCTAAAATTTAGTGAAACCTGAGGGAGCATTAGGTAGTCTTGGTCGTATCCTCCAGTGGAGCAGTATACCAATCTTGGAAGCTGCAAGAAAATTAGGACTGTGTTGTCAATACAACACTACAATATCCTGTGTTCAAGGAATGTGTTAGGCTTTAAGAAAAGTGGTTATTAGAACATATCCTTTTGAAGAGTTAAAATTCCAGAGAGAGGGAGGGCGAACAGAAATGCTGTTACTATTTTTGTGGAAATTTCCATACACAAATTATAAACATGTAAGAGGAAAATTAACTTTTATTTCTGAATTTTAAACTTGAATTTTTATATTTCAGAATATTAGAAGATGAGAAATAAGCACTGAATAAGTAGAAAAAAGACACATATGATTGAGTTTTTATTAATTTAGGCCAAAGAACACAAATCCATGAACTATAATATGCAGGAAGAGTACGAATTGCTTTATCTAAAAGTATATTTTAACATTTTTTTCTTTTGTATGTATCCATTCCAAAGAAAGGGTCATGTGACTTGGCATCTTTCTTCTACTACTCGAGTATATTTTGTCAGTAATGTCAGGGAGGTGCTAATAGTTTGGCCCAAGTTCGGTAAAAAAGTAAACAACCATAATTTCACATCAAAAATTTCAAAGGTTAAAAGCATTTCTAGGCAATGGTTAGCAAACTCTTCTGTGCATTTTCATAAATTGAAGAATAGGCTAAACATAGATTGCTGGGACTCATCTCCAGAGTTTTTGATTCAGTGAATCTGAGCCCTACCATGTGCATTTCTAACAAGTTCTCAGGTAATGCTAAGACTGCTGCTTCATGAATTACATTTTGCTCTTGAAAACGTGACTGACTCTATCTATATAGGGGTTAGCAAGCATTTTCTCTAAAGGGCAATTGTTTCAGGTTTGCTGCCCAAGATGAAAAACTGGAAATAGGCACATAGACCAATGGAACAGAATAGAGAATCAGAAATAAACTCAAATATTTACAGAAAACTGCTTTTTGACAAAGCAAACAAAAACATAAAGTGGAGAAAGCACACCCTTTTCAACAAATGGTGCTAGGATAATTGGCTAGCCACATGTAGGAGAATGAAACCGGACCCTCATCTCTTACCTTATACAAAAATCAACTAAAGATGGATGAAAGACTTAAACCTAAGACCTGAAATTATAAAAATTCTAGAAGATGGCCAGGCTTAGTGGCTCACGCCTGTAATCCCAGCACTTTGGCAGGCTGAGGCATGTGGATCATCTGAGGTCAGGAGTTCAAGACCAGCCTGGCCAACATGGTGAAACCCCATCTTTACTAAAAATACAAAAATTAGCCAGGCATGGTGGCATGCACCTGTAATCCCAGCTACTCAGGAGGCTTAGGCAGGAGAATTTCTTGAACCCAGGAGGTGGAGGTTGCAGTGAGCTGAGATCAAAACACCACTCCAGCCTGAAAGACAGAGCAAGACTCTGTCTCAAAAAAAAAAAAAAAATCTAGAAGATAACATTGGAAAAACCCTTCTAGTCATTTGCTTAGGCAATGATTTCATGACCAAGAAACCAAAAGCAAATGCAACAAAAACGAAGGTAATTAGCTGCGACCTAATTAAACTAAAGAGCTTTTGCACAGCAAAAGGAACCTTCAGCAGAGTAAACAGACAACCAACAGAGAAAGTCTTCCCAATCTATACATCTGTCAAAGAACTAATACCCAGAATCTACAACGAACTCAAACAAATTGGTAAGAAAAAAACAAACAATCCCATCAAAAAGTGGGCTAAGGACATGAGTAGACAATTCTCAAAAGAAGATAAACAAATGGTCAACTAACATTTGAGAAAATGCTCAACACCACTAATTATCAGGCGAATGCAAATCAAAGCCACAATGTGATACCACCTGACTCCTGCAAGAATGGCTATAATCAAAAAATCAAAAAACAGTAGATGTAGGTATGGATGCAGTGAACAGGGAACACTTCTACACTGCTGGTGGGAACGTAAACTAATACAACCACTATATAAAACAGTGTAGAGATTCCTTAAAGAATTAAAGCAGAACTACCATTTGATTCAGCAATCCCACTACTGGGTATCTACCCCAAGGAAAAGTGGTCATTATTCAAAAAAGATACTTGCACATGCATGTTTATAGCAGCACAATTCACAATTGCAAAATCATGGAACCAAACCAAATGCCCATCAATCAACGAGTGGATAAAGAAACTATGATATATGTATCATATATATATCATCTATTATATTAAATAGATGATATATATGTATCATATATACCATCTATTATATTAAATAGATGATATATGTATCATATATATCATCTATTATATTAAATAGATGATATATGTATCATATATATCATCTATTATATTAAATAGATGATATATGTATCATATATATCATCTATTATATTAAATAGATGATATATGTATCATATATATCATCTATTATATTAAATAGATGATATAAGTATCATATGTCATCTATTATATTAAATAGATGATATATGTATCATATATATCATCTATTATATTAAAAAGATGATTATATATAATCTATTACATTAAATAGATGATACATATATCATGTATCATATTTTACATTAGATGATATATATGAGATACATCATATATTATATTAAATATCTGTTATATTAAATATATGATATATATCATCTATTATATTGAATATATGATAAGATATTGAATATATGATAAGAATATTGAATGAATGATGATAAGATGATGTTCTTCTTATCATCAAAATCAGTTATAAATGTTTATCTGTAAAAACAATTCTTAATTCGCAGGTTATATGAGAGAAGGGCCAAATTCTGTCCATGGGCTATAGTTTATTTTTGATCCCTGCTATGTATACAGTAACATTTTAAAAAATTATAGAGTCATAGAAAAACATAAGAAGACACATAGAAAATCTAATCCAATTATTTCATGTTACAGGTTAAAAAATGAGATCCCAAGTGATGAAATAACTTGCTTAATTTTTTTAACCACAAATCTTTAACTTGATATAAAAGAATAAAAATGAAAAAAATGAGATTTTAAGACAGAATAAAAATGAAAATAAAATAAAATGAAAGAGAATAAAATGAAAAAGGAAAGATTTAGGCACGTTTATTTAAGAGTTATCTATTGAGTGTATGCCATGTGCCAGTGATTTTTCAAGGAGCTTGTGGTATATCAGGAAACACATCAGAAAGTATGAGTCATGAATTTCAGCAAAAATTCAAATAAAAATTACTTCAACACTTCTGTTTATTTTCAGAAAATCAGTATTTGGGCATTAATTCAGGATATCTGGCAACATTACTGATATAATGACATATTTCTTAGGTAAAGAAATCTCAGCTGGGCACGATGGCTCACTCCTGTAATCCCAGCACTTTGGGAGGCCCAGGCGGGCGGATCACGAGGTCAAGGGATCGAGACAAACCTGGCTAACATGGTGAAACCCCGTCTCTACTAAAAATACAAAAATTAGCTGGACATGGTGGCGGGTGCCTGTAGTCCCAAAAATCTGGGAGGCTGAGGCAGCAGAATCACTTGAACCAAGGAGGTGGAGGTTGCAGTGAGCCAAGATCTCTCCACTGTACTCCAGCATGGCAACAGAACAAGACTCTGTCTCAAAAAAAAAGAAATAAAGAAATCTCACTAAAAGATAGCTCTTATGTAAGCTTGTAAGCTATTAGCTATTACATTCTATGTTCAAGTTCCCTTATAGTTGGAAGGGTAGTACAAGTTGTACTCAAAGAAAGGTCAATGGACGTGATATTCTGGTAGTACCCAGAAGAGAATAATAACGTAATATTTTTCTTAATGGGAATTAGTTCATTGGCAATAGGCTAAAGATAAGGAAAAGGTAAACAATCCTTACTCTAGCTATACACTATTACCATAGATAAGATTTTGGTGCTGATAACTATATTCAAACATTTTCTCCAACACTTTACAGTGTCAAGATTAGAATCTAAATAACCGTAACTAAATAATACTGATGTAATTAATGCAATGATCTTTTAATACCCAGAGTATTATCATTATTTTGTCAAGAAATAAACCAGTGATTCCTTCTCTAATTCAGCAATACAAATATCCCTGCATAAAAGTTTATATTACCTGGTGGAATTCTGATCTTAAAAGAGAACATAATAACTTTTATTATTTTTTTTGAGACGCATTCTCGCTCTGTCGCCCAGGCTGTAGTGCAGTGGCATGATCTCTGCTCAGTGCAAGCTCTGCCTCCCAGGTTCATGCCATTCTCCTGCCTCAGCCTCCCGAGTAGCTTGGACTACAGGCACCTGCCACCATGCCCAGCTAATTTTTTGTATTTTTAGTAGAGACAGAGTTTCACCATGTTAGCCAGGATGGTCTCGATCTCCTGACCTCGTGATCCGCCTGCTCTGCCTCCCAAAGTGCTGGGATTACAGGCGTGAGCCACCGTGCCAGGCTGGAACATAATTTTTTGAAAAAAGAAAATAAAAAGTAGAATCTTAATAGAAAGGTATTAAAAGACATTTCTTCACATGTAAGGTGTTGAAATGAAGGAACTGAAAAGTTTTGCCTCTCTGGGGCTTATTAAGAATAAAAAGAGTTCTATGCTTGGTTAAATAGTGTTATCATCAAAGGGCAAGTAGTAAGAAAGATTATTGTACTTTCACAAAAACAGTAAGATTTTTCTGTAGAGCTGTCTATGCAGACATTTATTGCTTGTCTTGATTAGATGGAACCTTATATCTCTGCATCTATGTACAAAAATAACTTAAATATTTCAGTTAGAGTAACCTAGACAATTATAAGCACATGGTGCATGTCACAACATCAATAATATCTTGTTAAACTAAATAACATCACCCCATCTCTGACCTCCACAGCACTACTGCTGGAAACAAAAAAGCCATCCTTCCTTAGTGAGGATTTTGGGGGTAAATAATATTGTCCCCGGGGTGCCCAAGAAAGTCCTCATTTTTGCTACTACACAATCTCTGCTTTTCCTGTATCTTCATCTTTCCTAGGATTACTGTAACATTTCCCGTTTTCCATATGAACATCAGCTGCACAGCCATGAGAGCTCTTTCTGAAAATTAAATCACTCCTACAAATATTTCTAACGTTATCCTCTTAGGTAAAACTAACTCAGCTAGATTTCATGATGGATCTTAGAAACATGAGCTATTCTGAGTTATGAGTCAGGTTTACTCATCAGCTAACCAAGCTTTGTTACGCAAAACTCTCCATAGTTATGGGATTCTAACTCTTGCCCCAACCAATTTGAAATTTCCTTCATTAGACACATTCTCTGAGGGTGTAAAATTGAGTTGGCCAGACACCAGCCCTACCCTGCTGAAACAAAGGTACCTATTCCTGAGTTTCCTTATGAGATTTTCTTTGAAAAAAGAATCACATGGCTAAAAGGGGCTCTATATCTCAGATCTTGTTATTTATCCTTTTGCCGTGCTATGAATAGTGCTTAATTACCCTGCAGAGAGAGCATTGTTAAATTGTATCATTTCAAAACCACTGTAATTGGTTAAATGTATGCAAGAACACATCAGACAGGTCAAAATTGGTGGCTGTCATGTTTGTAAGAACCACATTTTCTGTTAAAGAAGAGTAGATGCCTTAGAGGGATTTGGGTGTGGAAACCAGGATATATGAAAATAACCATAATCCTCATAGTAAATCTGGCAATAAGGTCACATATACATATTTAGAGAGGGAGCAGAATAACTCAGATAAGTAATATGAATGTCTCAGAGTCAAAGTGGAAATAATGAGATTATAAACATAATTAGAGTCTGTTTCCTTGTTTCGATAATGTGTTCATCCATTTGAAATACAAAAATCCATCATTCTCAGAAAACTATCTCAAGGACAAAAAAACCAAACACCACATGTCCTCACTCATAGGTGGGAATTGAACAATGAGAACACATGGACACAGGAAGGGAAACATCACACACTGGGGACTGTTGTGGGGTTGGGGGAGCGGGGAGGGGTAGCATTAGGAGATATACCTAATGCTAAATGACGAGGTAAGGGTGCAGCACACCAACATGGCACATGTATACATATGTAACAAACCTGCCCATTGTGCACATGTACCCTAAAACTTAAAGTATAAAAAAAGAGAAATACAAAAATCCCCAAGGAATAAGTAGAGACTAAATTCATTATATGTAAATAGATATATTTAGAATTTAAAAGTGTATATTTTCATTAAATGTTGCAAACATTTTTTTACCTACTCTTGAGTGAAAAACATGCATCTCTGTTCCAGACTTGATCCTCAATAGTACTTCTTTTCCAGAGTTTATACGCAGCACTGACTTCTCCATTTAATGCAGTATCCATAATCATACTCAACATCATCACAAAACGTTTTACATATTCCTCTCACTTTTTCGCATCTTTCAAATCTATACTTTGGTTCAAAATTGCTTCTGGCTGCAATCAAGAAAAATATCTAAAGTTATTAGTCTATTATTGATTTGTGGGTTTTCTTGCTAAAGAAAGACAAAAACTGTTCCAGTTATGAGATCATGTGTGTGCAAGTTGGAGACAATGGAACGTCAAGTTGTTTTGTAGCAGAATTTATGAATCATTTCAGAAAATGACTGAGCTACTAACATTATACTTGTACAAAATGTCTATGTCCTTATCTTGCAGCTCACATCCATACTAAATGTCAGCTGGCTCAGTCTACAGTAACAACGAGAAAGTGACACACAATTTGGTACTTAATTATATGTATTTTTGTCAGACATTTGTTGTGATACTTTGTTATTGCAGCCAAAATATCAGCCCTTCTATAATAGTTATAATTTATTTTGATTCTTTATCTCTTTCCTATTTGAACATAGTGGTCACACAAATAGTAATCATAGAGAAACTAGAGAAGACTTCTAATGTACTAACTTCACTGATAGGGCAACTGATCGAGAAAACTCAAAACTAAAGTACTTTAGATCTACATAGAGAAACATAATTTTGTCATACACTGCCTATCTAGCAAAAAGTGGAGCCTCACATTAGTATTCTATTATAGTTTCTTGTGAACCATCTAAGACAATGAAAAGAAAGATGTTCTGAGATTCCAAAATCACAGTTTTATATTCATACATTAAACTATAGTAAAGGGAGGTAAATTATTTTGTTACTTTAAAGTTTTATTGTTCCTAGTGATACAACTGTACTCTGAAAATGCCTTTAGAGTAGAAAAGAGACTTTGGAGTCAGGCATATTTTTATTTTTCAATTTTATCAATGTACTTACCTATCTTTGGTCAGTCATTCTACCTATCTGGATGATATAATATAATCAACATAATTGTCAGAAATATATTTTGAGTATTAAATGTTGTTATGTGTGCATATATGTGTCAGGAAAAAATGAGGCAAAATAATTTTGTTAAAATTTAGAGAATGAATTGAATTGAATTCAGATTTAAATTATGTAATATCTGTTAATAGAACCTAATTGTCTGCATAGAATCGAATTGGAATTTAGAAAAATGTTTCATTTCAAATCAAAATGGTAGGCATTTATTTTAGTACCTAGTATTCACCAGGCATTAGGTTCCGAAGCAGAGAAAAACTAGAGAAGATCTCTAAAGCACTTACTTATTGCCCTTAATGAAGTTGGTAGAAAATAATTAAACGTAAGATGGAAGAGACTGTCAGGTGGATTTTAACATGTTAATATATATATATATATAGACATACATAGACATATATATAGACATATATATGACATGTAAATATATATATTTGACATGTAAATTATATATTTTTGATGTATATATATATTTTTTTAGTGAATGGTAAACTAATTTATAATGACAGAATCCCTACCTTTGGTGAATTTTAGTGAAATCTGAAGTCATTTCAGAGACATGTTTGATATAATTTAAAGTCAGGAAGACAATGATGCATAATTGCATATACTTTTTGTAACTGTTGCTAGAATAGAAACTTTTTAAGCCAATCAACATTCCTGAGCCATTATATTTTGTCAACTCTAAAACCACCAAAGTCTATGGTGGTTTTTAAGATATATTCAAATTAGAAAAAAGTATACACATAGAAATAATAGTAATATTTAAAATGTACTAATTTTGTTCTGACTTTCTAATTATTTTAAAGAATAAGAATGTTTTGAGTTATGAGGAAATCTATAGAACCATATAAAAACAAAAAGCATGCATTGTAAAATTGGTTCTATTGCTTATAATTTATTTGCAAATTATGGCTCACTATAGAATCAAAGGTTTGCCATGTGTAAATTATGAATGAAAATAACATCCCTTTGTATTGTTATGAAAATTGATACGTATCAATTTATAATACATATAGATAAATATTGATATATATATATCAATATATAAAAACAATTTTAAGGTGTTGAATGCTATACAAATGTCATCCATAAGTGCATGAGTATTTATGTGATATGAAACTGGGTGATACATACCACATAAAAACAAATTGTTTGGAGGAAAGATGCATAGTATCTCTTTCACTCACTTATATTTCCGCACATTTTGTACATCACTGGAGAAATTGAGCCCATGATAACTATTTTTCATAAAAAGAGACATTCAAATGCTAGTTTGGGGCCTTAGTCAGGAGAATATATTCCAGAAGGTTTCTGGGAGTCTCATCAAGAGTGAGGTACCACAAATAGAGTGGAGATATGCTGTGGACATCAACACAATCCTGCATACACACAGATGGGGACAAATCTGTTCGAAAGCTAGAGCTTAAAAGCGCAGTGGTCTCCATGACTCAATGTTAGTTTTTCCAAATGGTATGCGGAGTTTTTCACTCTCCCAAGGGAAGTGTCTGGCATATATCTCTCCACCTCCTCACAAATAACATCTCTGAGGGTGACTGCTTCACCTACCTCATGATGCTCCTGGAAATGTCATCCATAAGTGCAGAGTTGAAAGTAGAGGGAGGCAGTGTTGAAAGTAAAAAGAGTTATGTTTTGGAAGATATTTGCTCTTGCTGGATAGAAGTTGAAGTCAAGGCAGAAGCAAGGCCGTGGGTCAGTTGAAAGTTTGAAAAGGTATGATCTTTCAAAATCAGATAGAATTAAGTTTCATGACTGGATATTTTATTTGTCATTTTGCTATATAGCACAAATGATTTAGATCACTGGATTTCAGTTTCCTTATTAAATTGAGGTTTTATTGAAATTTCAAAAGATATAATGAGATAAAATATGCAGGTTGCTCTTATAGTGCTAAAAATTAATAAGCCTTCAAAGTCAGGTTATTCTCATTTCCTTTGTCTTTATTTGCCTTTTGGATTTCACACCAAAACCTTATAAAGCCTTACCCTAAGTGGAGCACTGTTACTCACTGTTTATGCCCTGCTATCACATTGTTACTAGTGTTTAATTCCTGCTATGGCTTTTTGCTATAGTTAAACCACAAAATTCTCGTCTTAAAGTTACAGTAGGCCAGGCCCACTATATACCTCATTCACTGATTTATTTCTGCACATAGGAAAATGCTTGAAACAAATTACTCAATAAATAAGATAAATAACTGAAAAAAAAGAGCGAGTGAATGCATATGTTATTACAGATAGGGACCTAATTCATATTATATAATAAAAAACTCTATGTTTTATTACATGTTATTCATCAGTTATTTCCTGTCAACTTAGCAAGTGACTTAGGCCCTATATTTGCAGTTTCCTTAAGTGAAAAATGCATTTAGTAATACTTCAGAGGGTTGTGTGGCAATCAAATGAGGTAATACATAAGGAAAAATTGTTTGGCCCATAATTTTATGAAGTAAGTTTTCATTGTCACTGTAAATGAGTTATTTATAGATTTATGGCAGATTAAAATAACCTTTTCTTAATTTACATATTTTTCTCTACTTTTACTGTTAAATGAAGAGAATGCTCTTTTTGTGATTCATACAACACACATTTAGTTAGCAAATATGTTGCACTTGGTCCTGTGATAGGTGGGGACAAAGATAAATAAAATATTTAAGCTCTTCACCTTCAAAAGACAACTATTATTTGTTGGGAGATGATGACATAGATGAGAAAAAAAATGCATCACTTTTAAAGGCAATTCTGAGATATAAGCAAAATGTCCTTGCATCACAAAATAAAGAGTTGTAAACTCTTCCTGGAATAGTCTATTTTTACTATTACTATTTTAACTGCTACTACCACTGCCACTATTAATAGCTATGTTTTATTAAGTGTTCACTAGGTTTCAGATTCTTTTCTAAGCCAGTTATATTCATTTTTGGATTTATTACTCCAATAACTCTTCCCATTTCATACATAAAGATAGTTGAATTCAACTCTTCCTAAGGTTTCAGAGGGAGTAGGAGAGCAAGTAGCAAACAAAGCTAGGTTTGTTGGACTCAAAAGCAATATATATGCTTCATTGCTTCACTGAGGAGATGACAGGTGGCTGGATCTTTAAAAGATAAAAGCATATTTTCCTGAAATTGTGGAGAAGGTCTTACAAGCAAAAAGATGTATCCTAAACATAGATACTATGTTTTGAAGAATGTGTGATCTATGCAGAATGGTATGACCTTTTAGCACAATAGAAATTATATGGATGTGAACTTTAGAAAATCAAACTGTGCACAGGTGGCAAAAGGCCCTACCAAGCTAAGGAGTTGAATATTATCATGAATGGAGTGGTAAAACTGATGATATTTTAAGCATCTTTTCAATTTTTTTTCTCTTTTAAGGGAGGAAATAGAGAAATTTTTGTAGCAGGAAATCTATGTCAAAGTTTATTAAAACAGTCTAAATAAGAAATGATGAATAAGATAATTAAGTTAATGAAACTTGAAAATAGAGAGGAGAAAGTGAACCTAGAAGATATTTCTGAATGAGACATAGCCCAATAGATAAGTTTTGGATTTGCAGGGAAAGGAACCTGGGACATAGAGAAGCAATGACCAGAAGTGTTTTAGCTTCTAAGACTGCGTGACTGATTACGAAATGACAATGTTTTGGCCTTTAGGATGTATGTTTGATATTGAAACAGAATAAAAGACATGGAACAGATTTTAGCCCTTGCGAGTAATATGATTTCGTTCTGGACAAATTATGATTAAGGAATTTGGAGGCTATCCAGTAGGTTCGGTAAGTAGTAATAAATACTGTTTTGTGGTTTAAGACGGAGGTTGAGAAAAAGACTTGATAGGAGAAGTCATTGGCATTAACAAGATAATATAGAGAAAGCACATCAAAATAAGAGGAAAAGGGATTCAGAGACAACACATTGGAGGCCATTGACATTTAGAAGACTATCAAAATAGATAATTCAATTAATAATTGTAAAATAGCAATCGATTCTAGCATGTGTTCAGAAGTCCAGCAAGATAAATAATTAAAATAAACCTTTGAGTTTGCTTTAGGAAAACATATATAACATGAGCAAGAAGAGTTTCAGTTAATTGGTGTGAGTGAATTTATGGTGGGAAGAGTGTAAAAGAGTTAATGAAGTGGAGACTATGGATCTAAGATTCTTTTCAAGAAATTCGATGAAGAAGAGAATAAGGCAGATTAGAAAGTGGCTTGAAGAAAAATTAAGAACAAAATAAGGGAGGATTTTTGTAAGATGAAAGAGACTTGAGAAAATTTGTGTTTACTAATTAGAACCATATAAGGTTGGTAAAATTTTTAAGAATTTTGACTTACAAAATGGCAAAGTCATATGTGTTCAAACATATAAGAAGAAATGAAATATTCAACAAATGACGGGAAAAAGATGCTGGAAATAGGACAGTTGTGAAGAATACCTACAGCCTACTCAACTTACTCCTTGAAAACACCTTTACAAATTCTCAGCTCTCCTCGCAATTTCAAAACATCCTTCCTGTCTTCACTCTCAGCTAATGATCTTGCTCCCTTCAATTCAATGATCCAATTGAAGATTCCTGAGACTCTCCACAGACTTTCAGCACCAAATTAACCTGCCAATCAGCAACTGCATCTATGTATTCTACCCCTCCTGCTTATGAATGAAGAAAGCATCCCCATGCTCTAATGAAGGGCTAGTCCCTCAATCTCTGCATTAGATGTCATCCTGTCTTGCCAACTCAAAAGATTACTGTCTCCACTCTCATTTTCTGTCTCTTCTCTTAACCACTTGCTAAATCTATTTGATATGACAAACTCTACATGTCCAAAATTGGATCAATCGTCCAACCAAAATTTGTTACACCTAATATCCTTCCCATTTTAGTCAATGGCACAGCTCAATCTTTCCAATTGCTCAGACAAGAAATCTTGGAGTCATTATTGACCCCTCTGTCTGCCATAGCCAAAATTTAATCCCTCATGAAATCTAGCTAGCTCTACATTTAACAGATCCAGAATTCTACATCCATTCCTCATTGTTTGTATTATTATGGACTTAGCTTCTATAATTTACCACCTATATTATTTACTACTTATATTATTTTAATAACTTCGAGAGACCTTTACAATATTCAAATTATGTCTCTCCCCTGGCTAAAACCCTTTGAATTGCTCTCAGAATAAAAGTCAAGATCTTTTCTAGCTCCTAAAAATCCCTGGGTAATCAATTTGTCAAGATATTTTCTCTCCAATTTCCTCTCCCAGGACTCACCTCCTCAGTTACTCTTTTCCAGCAATTCTTTCCTCCCAGGTGTTCCCCACACATTCCAGGTATGCTCTTATGAACACTTTTTTCAGCCTTTACAATAGGGCTCTATGACAAATCATGTTTAAAATTACTATAGCCCAGGATTGTGGGCTACTACACTCTACTTTGTTTCCTTTTCTCTAACACTTATTGCCTTGTAATATAATAGATAATTTGCTTATTTCTATTATTTACTGTTTATATTTGTATCCACTCACTATACTATGAGCTCCATAAAACCAGACAACATTGTTAGTTTTGTTTTTTTATGTGTCCCAGTTATATTGTACTCTGACACATAGTAGCTGTTCAATAGATATTTATTGAATTGGTAAATAAATGAGGGAGAATATATTGAATGTAGTTTAACCTGTTTATTATCCATATTACAAATTGACATTGATCTTTTTGGAAGAATATTCCATGCTTTATTCATTTGTGAACTCTATCAAATTGAATATTACTTAAAAATCAGTTTGTAGTCAATCAATATCAGTTCCTTAAGCCAGGAGCTATAATTTTTCAATCTCCAAATCCAAAACCCATGACATTAAGCCTGGGAAGAAGTAATCCACTTATGAAAAGTTGCCTGAATAAGTACATTGCTAATTGGAATTAGATTTTGTTCTTGCCCAAGGATATTGAGGTAAAATAAATACTGATATAGGTTGGGTTTGAATACATGATATCAGGTAGGAGTCTAATTTCTTTCTTCCTAGTTCACGTGAGAATTTGACGGTGATAAATCTAATTTCAATATAATGCTTTTAATTGATTCATATGGGTATTGAACTACCAAATAACAACAAAAATTTCCATCACTTAGTGGCATCTATTTTTATCAGAGTCACTGCTCAAGACTCACAAGAAACTAAATATGAACGAAAATACATAGTGTCATGAAAATTTATATTGTGGGCCATAGGAGGGAAAAATATAAAACTTAAGTTTTTTAGAACGAATTAGTTTAACATTATCTAGTTCTTTTGTAAGTTCATACAATAAAAATTACAATGTATCAGCAAGAAAATCACCAGAAATATTTCCATTTTTAAGCATTTTTTTGCCTTCCTTTTGTTAATAAATTACAAACTTAGACAAATGTAAATTCTGGGGGCAGAGTAATTAGTAACACCTTTATCTTTTTAAGGAAGCAGGCTGAAGAACTTCATCAAAAGGGTTTCTAGAGTTTTCAGTCTTTTTTTCACGCAGAAAACACTTAAAAGATTTCCTCAGGAAAAAAAAAATATTAATTTTGAGGTTGATGCACGTAGGTTCACATTCTCCTTCAATTTTCTTAAATTTGTCCCTTGAGCTGAAGGCAGAGGCTGGTGGCTTAAATGTATTGAACACAAGTAAAGGCCACCTTAGAAATTTAGATGGTTTTCGTGCTCTCTGTCAAGCACTGAAAGATACAGGGTACACCAGGAGTTTTAGCACAGCCTAGATTTTGTGCAGAGACGCCTCACATGTTTTTTAGAAAATCTCTCATCTTCTTGGTGGGTCCTAACAAACTCAACTCTTATTTTCCCCATATTAATAGTATATTAGGCCTCTCAATTCTGATTTAGATGTCTTGATGGAGAGAGGGCTCAGTCTCTTCTTAGGTAAAATAAATAAAAATCAAACTTTCATAACTTTCATTTTAAACATTTATTTTTACTAATCTTTTTCTTGACGTAGCTAATATATTCATTATCCAAAAGTTAGGCCAATTTTTCTTTCTGGAGCCAGCAATATATCACATCTAGCCCATATGTAATATATAAAAAATTTAAATAGATAACTATTTCTCATAAAACACAGAAAATGTAATTGGCCACCTGAAAATCTCACTGATTTTTTTATTGTTTCCATTTTCATTTTTAAATTTTTGTGAGAATGGGTGCTTGACTTTATAAATCAGTAGTTCTCAGCCAAGTGTAAATTTGCCCCCTCCCGCAAAGAGGATATTTGGCAATATAGGTAGACATTTTTGATTATCACAATTGGGAGAAAGTGTGCTATTCGCATCTAGTGGGTAGGAGTTAAGGATGCTGAAAAACATATAACGAGCAGAATAGCTCCCACAACAAAGATTACCTGGACCAAAATATCAATAGTGTCAAGGTTGAGAAACCCTGTTATAAATAACTATTGTAAAGATACTTTTGAAGATATTTACATTGCAAGAAAACACACTGAACAATCAAAGACTATGTAAATTTTATCTGAGTGGAGAAAAAAAAATTTCCCCATTCATGGCTTGTTGTAGATAATGCTTAGTATAAGCATACTTAAATCTCATATCTGCATTTGAAGAATAGAATGGATCCACAGAGAGGCCATAATAAAAATATCAAGAGAGTAGGAAGCCCCTGGAATTTTTTGATTTACCATCTCCTTTTGAGTCTAAGTCTGACCTATATGTACTGTTTAATACATTTTATTTTTCTTTAGTTAATTTCCCAAAATATTGGTTAATTTTATTTTGAGGGGTATGAAGAGAGGATTCTATTTTATTATGATGTTGTGGTATTGACAATGTTTCTTAAGAATTTTGAATTAATATGGATTGTTAAATTGTATTCCTAAACTCATAAAATAATATAATTAGCTCTTCTAAATGGAAAACAAATGGTACAGATGCATCACTGACATGTTCTAGTGAGGAATACTGTGGCTCCTCAGAGGAAGCAGTAGAGGAACTGAGGCAGAGTGAAATTGAAAAGTGAAGGTTATTGCTGCTTCCTTTTGTCATGGATCTCCTCAGACATAGTCATCTCTCAGGACTGAATAGCTGCATTAAACTATTAGTCATAATTTTTGACTTCTTTGGTCTAAATTTTCAGTTATTTTCTCCTCTTCTTTCTGAAATTATTCTCCTTTCTTTTTACTACCTCTCATTTCTTGATACACATTTATCTTTACAAAATAATAAATATGAGTAGAAATTGGAGCTGGTTGTGATTCTTCTCTGGTCTTCCATTCTTATACTCATGATCCTTTCACTTCAGCTCTGTCTCTCTCACAATAAAGATCTGCCCTCTCAATGTCCAGTCTCCCAAGCCCAGTGGATTTATATATTTACGTGGGGGTAATCTGTGGAACAGTATCTAATAAAATAACAGCGCATTTCCACTGGAAGCTTGTATTTTAGAAATATGCTTACCCAATTCTTTGACCTAGGGTTTCCCACAACCTTACTTATGGCAACTAACACAAGGCACATAAAAGTTGTGGAACTTGTGGAACATGAAGCACTGAAAACTTGAGGAACTTGCATAAAATAAGTCCTGCTACTTCTGGTACCAACAAATCAGGAGAAAAGTGTAATGGAAAGGCACCAGACATGAGCGTGACATATGATCACTTCTGAATGGTTCAACATTAATTTTTATTTAGTTCTTGTGTATTATAGAGACACACACGCCTTGAAGGATGTGCTGGGAAAACTTAATAACGCTGGTCTCTCTTCTTGGAGCTTGTGACTCTTTTCTTCTGTCATCGTTACTGCTGCAAGCAGCAATGAGTTCCAGGTCTTATGCAGTAAGCAATCCTAATTTCATTTTCATGACACTGATTTTTACATTGACCATTACCTATTCTGCACTCTCTCCTCAAGTCCAAGCTACCATACTCAGGATATTTCTTTTTGGCTGTAAGAAGGGAAGAATGACTAAAATTAGCCATCTAGCTATGACACATCCATGTTTTAAAAGGAGAAAGTCCATGAAGCAAAAGATTATAGAGTGAAAATGTCCACCTACCTATGGAGGAAAGTTTAAGTGAATTTACTGTCCCTTGGTACAAGCTACATTCTAGAAATAAAAAGGGTCTTGGACTTAAGTTAGGTGTTTCCACTTTCTGTCTTACAAGAAACTGGGCAGTGACCCAAGGATGGTTCCCTAAATCAATGGAAAAAAAGTGACCATAATTTATCTTTTGGTCAGACTCTCTCTCTGCAATCATCTAATTGCATTTGAGCTGCCTGTTCTCTGCTCTCACTAACATTATTTAGACTGAATGTTGTGCTTTATGAATTCTTCTTCAAGTGATTTTCACTGTAGCTTGATTTTGCTTCTCTAAAATGTCAAGAGCTAGGCAACGCTAGTGAATTTGTCTAAATTCCTGCAACTCCCCTGAATATTTGGGGTTTATTTCCCAAAGAAATCATCTAACTCAGACATGTGTCTAATAACAACATTGATAAAGAAAAAAAAAGTGGAGCCATTGTTAACCATTACATGATTTCTGAAATTACCAGTGATACCTTTTTTTTTCTTTCACAAAAAAGTTTCTAAAATAATAACTTACAAACAATTTCTGTCAATTACTGTGTGTACTATTAAACCTTTTGACTAGGAATCAATAAACTATTGTCAGGGAGCCAAATCCACCCTGCCACCTATTTTTGGAAGTAATTTTAGTGGCACGCAGACACACCCATTTGCTAACACATTGTCTATAACTGCTTTTGCATTAAAATAATGCAGTTGAGATCATAGGGTTCATAAAACCTACAATATTGGTTGTCTCACTTATTTCTAGAAAAAGTGTGTTAACTCCTACTCTGGCTTTATATTTTCTTATCAATCATGAAAGAATGGGTGAGGGATTTGTAGCTGGGGTCACAAGAAGACATGTCCAGGAGAGCAAAACTGCAACTAAAATTTGCACATTATAAGAAACACAAAATTTGACACAATACAAAAATAACTTTGTAATAGTCAAAGCTGTAAGAAAAGATATGTTTTTTTTTTAGCTTAAAGATGGACTCTCACTAGAAGTTTCTTATTTAGAATTGAATATATTTAGGGGGTTTGAGGACATTGGTTTGATTGGTTATGTGATCTATTCCAAGTCAATTTTTTTAAGTTTATATTTTAAATTGTACCAAGTCAAAATTTTTTTATTTTATATTTTAAATTGTACCCTGGCCGATTCGTTTTCAGAAGTCATTTGTTTTGTAGCCTTTTTTTTTTGTATACACATCAAATTCTTGACCAAAGGACAGATTTAATATTTTCACATATGAAAACAAATAAATTATGCCACTGTTTCCTGCTATTAATTATTGCTTGGTCTTCTCAAAGGCCAGGCCTTTTGGCCTAGGCAGTCTGTCTGCAGTTCCAACAGCTGACACCTGATGGTGAGTAGTAATACCTGTTAGCTAATACATAGACTCAGAGCTACATTATCTATGTCATTGGTATAATGGCTATAAAACCAAGTCCTACTATTAATATTGGCTTTCTTCTCAATGTAACCAAAGCAATTCAGAGTATG
This sequence comes from Homo sapiens, assembly GCF_000001405.40. Lineage (NCBI taxonomy): Eukaryota > Metazoa > Chordata > Mammalia > Primates > Hominidae > Homo > Homo sapiens. The sequence goes on from NC_000006.12 coordinate 50,020,756, forward strand.
AAGCAACTTAAAGAAACAAAAGCATAGAAGAGCATCTAGTTAATCTGCACAATTTAAATATTCACTTCTAAAGATCATTACTTATTCTACATTTTCTGAGGAGTTATTATTATCAAACCCATATGTGATTACCCGTGACAGACACCTGAATTATACTCACTTTTGGCAAAAGTTCTGTCATGTTTGGCACTGTTGTCCATGAATGCACCTTGGACTGACCCCACCCCTTCTCTTATTCATTCTTTGTCTTATTTCACCTTTCTAAAACATTATTGTCTTCTTTCTCCTCATTCTGACCTCTACATGTGTTCTCCAGTTTGTGTCCTTGGATTGCTAATCTCCTTTGCAAGCATTCATCTCCTCATTCAAATAGTATCAATTAAATATACTCCCTGTCAATTGGATGCCAAGCTCAAGGGCATGGTGTCTCACTCTAAGCAATATTGATCTTTTGAATAGGACAATTCTTTGCTCTAAGGGGCTGTTCCATGCATTGTAGGTTATTTAGCAGCATCCTGGGTTCTATCTACAACTGGTACTGTGCCAGTAGTACAAGTTGTGATGAGCTAAAAGGTCTCTAGACGTTGCCTGATGTTCCCTTGAGCACAAATTCACTCCTCTCTGAGAACCACTGGTCTAGTGATACTTCGATATTTCAATAATTATTATTTCTGCCTTCAAATACATTGTTCAAGTCCAATCTGTCTGAAGTCTCTGATCATTACTTTCAACAAAGTAAAATCTCTCTCCATTTCTGTCTCACATCACTTTTTGTTATGATATTATTTTAGATTCACAGAAGAGTTGCAAAGTTGGTGGAAGCCAGCTTCCACTTATGTTATATATTGCATAAACTTGGTAATGTTAATTAAGATTAACGAATTAATGTTGATGTAATAGTATTTACTAAGCTATTCAGATTTTGCCAGTTTTCATACTTGTTATTTTTGTCTGTTTTTCACTATTGTCTTTATTATCTGTTCTGGAGTCCAATCTAAAATACCACATTACATTTTTGTGAAATGATGTTTTAATCCCTATGTTATTATCATATTTTTTATCAAGAAACAACTTATGTCTTCTCAAATTTGTTAGTATAAATCCCCACAAATATTTGCATATTACCTGGTAAAATTGTGACCCAAAAGTGCAGAATAAAGAAAAAAAGTTGAATCTTCATGGTAGAGAGTTTCTTAAAAAAAGGGGGCAACAGACCTCCTTTTTCAAGTCAGTTGTTTTGAAATAAGGAAACAGAGATCCCTTTTATTTGTGGATTCTCCTGGGAAGTACTTTTAACCACTGAGGCTTATCAAGAGCAAGAACATTTGTATGCTTGGTTGAATAGTGCCACCCTCAAAGAACATGAACTCAAAAAGTATTATTAAATTTTTCTCATAAAAGTAAAACCTGCTGTGTAACCTTAACTAGACTTTCATGAAAACAACACAGTTTTTAAGATATTTTATTTATAGGGGATATGTGTTTGGATTGCTAAATGTTATAGTAATCATCTCCTCTATTCTATGTTATATGTAATATTAAGTATTCTAATGCCTTAGTATAAAATTGTTGAATGCCTGAATCATAAGATTTTAGAGAAAAAGTTTCCATTGAGATCAGTTTTGTTTTGCTGATAAAACAATGAGAACCAGGGAGATTAAATAACTTTATTTCAATTAATATAATATGCAATTATTTAAATAATCAGTAAATTCTGGATTCACTAAAAATGTGAGAAATATTCTATATGTCTTTTTTTTTTTTTTTTTTTTTTGAGATGGAGTCTGGCTCTGTCACCCAGGCTGGAGTGCAGTAGCACCATCTCAGCTCACTGCAACCTCTGCCTTCCAGGTTCAGGTGATTCTCCTGCCTCAGTCTCCTGAGTAGCTGGGATTACCGGTGCCTGCCACCACGCCTGACTAATTTTTGTATTTTTAAAAGAGATAGAGTTTCACCATGTTGGTCAGGCTGGTCTCAAACTCCTGACCTCATGATCCACCCGCCTCGGCTTCCCAAAGTGCTGGGATTACAGTCATGAGCCACCATGCCCGGCCAAGTCTTTGTATGATTCATAAATTTTCTATAGTCATCTGATTTCAAAATTTCAGGTTCAATGTTTTAATTCTGTTTATGGAACTGAAAATTTCATATCTGATCTAAATTGCATGCTTGCAAAAACTATTATTTTGGATATGTGAGAAAGAGCTGGAAGTTTTGCCCAGTACTCAGAAGCTGATGCTATAAAGAAAAACAATTGGCCAGGTGTGGTGGCTCACACCTGTAATTCCAGCACTTTGGGAGGCTGAGGCGGGTGGATCACCTGAGGTCAGGAGTTCTAGATCAGACTGGCCAACATGGTGAAACAACCCCGTCTCTACTAAAAATACAAAAATTAGCCGGCCATGGTGGCAGGCACCTGTAATCCCAGCTACTCAGGGGTCCAAGGCAGGAGAATCACTTGAACCTGGGAGGCAGAGGTTGCAATGAGCCAAGATTGTACCATTGCACTCCAGCCTGGGGTAAAAGAGTGAGACTTCCTCTCAAAAAAAAAAAAAAAAAAAAAAAAGAAAGAAAAAGAAATCAATTAATCAATTATTTCCTACCACATAGTTAATTTTTAAGACAGTGGTTCCTAAACTTTAGCTGCATCAGAATCCCTTAGAAAGCTTGCTAAAATCAGATTGCAGTGTCCCACCCCCGGCATTTCTGATTTAGTAGATCTGGAATAGGGACTAAAATTTGCTTTTCTAACAAGATCATTGAATGCTAATGCTGCTGAAAGGGACCACATATTAGTCTAGGAAACCTAACTCATTCATTCTATAATGTCTAGGAAAAATGTTTCACAGAGTCATAGAATCTGCAGCATACATTAATAAAGAATTAAAAGCTGCTTAGAGTTTCTAATCAAATATACTCACATTACTGGTGAGAAAAGTAAAATCAAGATAGATGAACTTATTTACCTAGTAATTGTTATCCTTTGCAACAAATGCTTCATATTATAAAATAAAAATAACAACTTTTGGACTAAATCAATTATGGGGAACTTGAGTTATCTATTTCCTTTCTGGGAAAGAAAAGAAAAATTGAGAATGCAGCATTAGTTGATAGGAGGAAGACCACTTCAGTATATCACTATGCAACACTTAACTCAACAAATATTATTGAGCACTAAAATTAAGAGTTCAGTTATTGATTTCAAATTGATTTTGAATTGATTTCATCTTGTTGCAGTCAGAAAACATACAGAAGACTAAGAAAGGATTCCTATGAATAGAAAGTACTCTATTGACAAAGGTTAAAAAGAAAAAAAAAAGATAACTGTATCTCTAATACAGAGCATTTATCCCTTATCAATTGGTTTTGCTATTAGAATGGACAAAGATATCCTATGCAAAAGAAAACTGGAGAGACTAAACTGACATAACAGAAAATAGACTTTAAGAAAAAAATTGTTACCAGAGACAAAGAATAACATTGGATAATAGTAAAATGGTCAATTCATCAAGAATATAGAGAAATTACAAATATTTGTGTACCTAACATTAAAGCTCTGAAATGCAAGAAGTAATACATGACAGAATTGAAAGGAAAGATAGATAGACAATAAAAATAATACTTGAGGTCAATAATACCCCACATTCAATAATGGATGCAAAAACTAGACAGACCAGTATGGAAACAGAAAAACTTTAGCAACCTTGTACGCTAACTAGACCAACAGATACTTGTAGAATATTCCATCTATCAAAAGCAAAATACACATTATTTTCAAATGAATATGGAACATTCTCTATGATAGTCATATATTAGGTCACAAAACAAGTGTCAATATATTTAAAAATTGAAATTATACAAGGTACCTTCTTTGACTACAATGGAATAAATTTAAAATCTGTAACTGAAGAAAAATAAAAAAAATTTACAGATAACTGAAAATTAAATAATATACTCCAAAATAATCACTGGTTCAAAAGTAAATCCAAAGATGAATTAGAATATGCTTAGTATGAATAATAACAAAAATACAATGTGCCAAAACTTATGAGATACAGTGAATGCATATGAAAATGCAAGAAACCTAAATAGCAGAAATCATCTTGAAAAAGGACAGTGTTGGAGGACTCACACTTCCTAACTTCAAAACTTACTATCAAGAAACTGAGGAAGGTTGGAGCAAGATGGTGGAAGAGAAGGCTTCACTTATAGTCCCCTTACCACCCCCAACTGCAAGGGCACCAATTTAACAATTATCTAAACAAGAAAACGCACCTTCATAAATAAATCAGGTGAGCACTCACAGCACCTGGTTTTAATTTCATGCTGAAAGAGGCACTGGAAGAGGGTAGGAGAAACAGTCTTAAATCACAGATACCACCCCCTTTTTTCATCCCTTGACAGTAGCTGAGTGGTGCAGAGAAAGAATCATGTGCTTGAGAGAGGGAGAGAACAGCAACTGTGAGACACTGCATTGAACTCAGTGCTGCTCTGACATAGCAGAAAGCAAAACTGGGTTGAACCCAGCTGATGCCCACTCATGGAAGGAGTATTGAAACCAGCCCTAGCCAGAAGGTAGAATTTGATTCTTGGCAAGCCTTGCCGCTATAGTCTAAAGTGCCCTGGGCTCCGAATAAACTTGAAAGGCAGTCTAGGCCACAAGGACTGCAACTCCTATGTGAGTCCTAGTGCTGAACCGGGCTCAGAGCCAGTGAATGTGAGGAACATGAGACCTATTGAGACACCAGTTGAGGTGGCTAAGAGAATGCTGGCATCACCTCTCCCCTAACCCCAGGCTACATAGCACACAGATCCAATAGATACTTCCTTCCATGTGAGGGTAGGAGAGAGATGAGTAAGGAGGTCATTGTTTTGCACAGTAGATAGGGAACCAGAGTCACGAGGCCCCCTTTCCGGGCCCTAGCTCCTGAGTGACATTTCTAGACACACCTTGAGCTGGAAGTGAACCCACTGCCTTGAATGGAAATTACCTGAGGGCCTTGGGAGAGACTCTGAGATATGCTGGCTTCAGGTAAGACTTAGCACATTCCCAGGAGTGATGGCTATGGAGAGAGACTCCTTCTGCTTAAGAAAAGCAGAGAGAAAGGTAAAGTGTGCTTTGTCTTGCACCTTAGGTACCAGCTTAGCTGCAGAGGGGTAGAAAACCAAGTAGGCTCTTGGGGTCCCAGATTCTAGGCCTTGGCTCCTGGGTTGCATTTCTGGACAAGCTGTTGGAAAGAGGGAAGAGCACTGTCCTTAAAGGTGAGTCTCAGGCCTGGTGGCATTTACCACAACCTGACTAAAGAGCCCCTGGACTTTAAAGGAACATCCATGGTAGACTGTTAGTATTCCCTGTGGGCCTGTGGTAGTAGTGCCTATGGGATGAGGCTCCTCTGACTGTTGAAAGGGGAGGGAAGAATGGGAAGAGCTGTGTATTGGGGTTTGAGTGTCAGCTAAGCTGCAGTATAATAGAATATCAGGTAGACGTCTAAGGTTTTTGACTCCAGTCCCTGGCACTCAGGTGGTACCTCTGGATACCTCCCCACATCAGGGCTTTAGGGAACTTGCCACCCTGAAGGGAAGGACACAAGCCTAACTGGCTTCACCATCTGCTGATTGTGGAGACCCAGGACCTTGAGTGAACATAAGTGGTAGCCAGCTAGTGGTTACAGAGGGCCTTGGGTAAGACCCAGTGCTATGCTAGCTTCAGGTCTGATCCAGTGAAGTCCCAGTGGTGGTGGCGGCAGAGGTGTTTGTGTCACCTCATCCCCAGCTACAGTTAGCTCAGAAAAGAGAGATACTCCATTTGTTTGGGAGAAGGTAACAGAAGAGAAGAAGAGTCTCTACTAGGTAATCCAGAGTATTATTCCAAATCTTTTCTAAGACCATCAAGACATAGTACAATAAAATATAAATAGAAATAACAAAAATTTAAAAGCAGGAGGATGAAGTTGGGGTGTAGAGTTTTAATTCATTTTATTTTTGCTTGTTTAGTTTTTTTTTATGCAAACAGTGTTGTTACCAGCTTAAAATAATGAGTTATAAGGTTGTATTTGCAATCCTCATGGTAACCTCAAATCAAAAACCATATAACAGATGTACAAAAATAAAAATCAATAAATTAAATCATATCACCAGAAAAAATCACCTCCACTAAAAGGAAGAGAGGAAGAAAGGAAAGACCACAAAACAACCAGAAAACAAGTAGCAAAATAGCAGGAATAAGTACTTACTTGTCTCCAATCAAAAGACATAGAGTGGCTGAATTGATTAAAAACAAACAAACAAAAAAAAAACAGGCCGAGCGTGGTGGCTTATGGGCTCATGCCTATAATCCCTGCACTTTGGGGATCGCCTGAGGTCAGGAGTTTGAGACCAGCCTGGCCAACATGATGAAACCCCATCTCTACTAAAAATTAAAAAAAATTAGCCAGGTGTGGTGGCGCGAGCCTGAGATACCAGCTCTTATTCCCAGCTACTCAGGGGGCTAAGGCAGGAGAATCGCTTGAACCCGTTGCAGTGAGCTGAGATCGCGCCACTGCACTCCAGCCTGGACAACAAGAGTGAAATTCTGTCTCAAAACAAAAACAAAAACAAACAAACAAAAAAACAAGACCCAATAATCTGTTTTCTACAAGAATCACACTTCATCTATAATGACACACATAGACTAAAAATAAATGGATGGGAAAATATATACCATGCCAACGAAAACCAAAAAAGACTGAGAATTGCTATACTTACATGAGAAAAAATACATTTCAAGGCCAAAACTTTATAAAGAGACAAAGAAGGTCATTATATAAGGATAAAGGGGTCAATTCAGCAAGAGAACATATTAATTGTAAGTATGAACCCAAAACTGGAGACCCCACATATGAAAAAAAATTATTAGAGCTAAAGGGAGAGATAGGCCCCAGTAAAATAATAGTTGTGTACTTTAACACCACACATTCAGCATTGGACAGATCTCTTGGACAGAAAATCAACAAATAAACATCAGATATAATCTGCACTATAGACAAAATGTATCTAATAGACATTTACAGAATATTTCCTCCAATGGAGGCAGAATACACATTCTTTTTGTAAGCACATGGATCATTCTCAAGGATAGACCATATGTTAGGTCACAAAAGAAGTCTTAAAACATTCAAAAAATTAAAATTATATCAAGCATCTTCTCTGACCACCATGGAATAAAACTAGAAATCAACAGCAGGAGGAATTTTGGAAACTATACAAACACATGGAAATTAAACAATATGCTCCTGAATGACCAGTGGGTCAATGAAGAAATTAAGAAGAAAATTGAAATTTTTCCTGAAATAAATGATAATGAAAACACAACATATCAAAACCTATGAGATACAGCAAAAGCAATACTAAGAGAGAAGTTTATCGCTATAAGTGCCTACATCAAAAAGGTGGAGAAACTTCAAATAAACAACCTAACAATGTATCTTAAAGAACTAGTAAAGCAAGAGCAAACCAAACCCAAAATTAGTAGAAGATACAATAAAGATCAGATGAAAAATAAATGAAATAAAATACAAAAGATCAATGAAACAAAGAGTTGGTTTCTTCAAGGTTTACAAAAATTTGACAACTCTTTAGCCAAACTAAGAAAGAAAGAGAGAACACCCAAACACATAAAATCAAAGATGAAAATGGAGACATTGCAATTGGTAGTGTAGAAATTCAAAGGATCATTAGTGGTTACTATAAGCAGCTATATGCCATTATATTGGGAAATCTAGAAAAATGAATAAATTTCTAGACACATATAACCTATCAAGATTGACCCAGGAAGAAATTCAGACCACAGACAAGTAATGAGACTGAAGCCGTAATAAAAAGTCTCACAACAAAGAAAAGCCCAGGACTCAATGGCTTCATTGCTGAATATTACAAAACATTTAAAGAAGAATTAATACCAATCCTACTCAAACTATTATGAAAAATAGAGGAGGAGAGAATACTTCCTAATCATTTTGTGAGGCATGATACCAAAATCAAACAAAGACATAACAAATAAAGAAAACTATAGGCCAATATCATTGATGAATATTGATACAAAAATCCTCAACAAAATGCCAGCAAACTGAATTCAACAATGCGTTAAAAAGATCTTTCATCATGACCAAGTGGGATTTATCCCTGGGATGCAAGTATGGTTTAACATACTTGAATCAATGAGTGTGATACATCATGTAAACAGAATAAAGGACAAAAATCATATGATAATTTCAATTGATGCTGAAAAAGCATTTGATAAAATTCAACATCTTTTCATGATAACAACCTTCAAAAAACTGGGTATACAAGGAACATACCTCAACATAATAAAAGCTATATTCAGCAGACCTACAGCTCTCATGCTGAATCTTCCTCTAAGATAGGGAACACAACCAGGAGACTCATTTTCCCCACTGTTGTTCAACATAGTACTGAAGTCATACAAATAGTAATGAGACAAGAAAAAGAAATAAAGACCATCCAAATTGGAAAGGAAAAAGTCAAATTATCCTCTCCTTGTTTGCAGATGATATGATCTCATATTTGGAAAGTCCTGAAGACTCCACCAAAAAAACTTAGAACTGATATAAAAATGCAGTAAAATTGCAAGATACAAAATCAGCATACGAAAATCAGTAGCATTTCTATATGCCAACCATGAACAATCTGAGAAAGAAATCAAGAAACTAATTCAATTTACACAAACTACAAGAAAAATAAAATACCTAAGAATTAATGTGACCAAAACAGTAAAAGATCTCTACAATGAAAACCATAAAGCATTGAGGGAAGCAATTGAAAAAGACAAAAAAACATGGAAAAATATTCCATGTTCATTGTTTGGAAGAATCAATATTTTTAACATGACCATGTTACCCAAAGAAATCTACAGATTCAATAGAATCCCTACCAAAATACCAATGACATTCTTCACAGAAATAGAAAAAAAAAATCCTAAAATTCATATAGAACCACAACAGACCCAGAATAGCCAAAGCCATCCTAAGCAAAAGGAACAAAACTGGAGGAATCATATTACCTGACTTCATATTATACTACAGAGTGATGGTAACCAAAACAGCATTGTAATGGCATAACTGCATGTAGATCACTGGTACAGAATAGAAAACCCAAAGATGTATCCATACATCTACGGTGAACTCATTTTTGAGAAAGGTTCCAAGAACATAATTGAGGAGAGGACAGTCCCTTTAATAAAACATGATGGGGCCAGGCACTGTGGCTTGCGCCTGTAATCCTAGCACTTTGGGAGGCTGAAGTGGGTGAATCACTTGAGTTCAGGAGTTCAAGACCAGCTTGGCCAACATGGTCAAACCCCATCTCTACTAAAAATACAAAAAATTAGCCGGGTGTGGTGGTGCATGCCTGTAATTCCAGTTACTCAGGAGGCTGAGGCAGGAGAATAGCTTGAACCCAGGAGGCAGAGGTTGAAGTGAGCCGAGATTGTGCCACTGCACTGCAGGCTGAACCACAGAGCTAGACACCCCGCATGGACGTTTGAACTGGCAGGGGCATCTTCCCAGAGATTAGACAGAGATGGGGCTTCAGCAGGCACCAAGCCAGGGACCTTTGTGTGCGGGAGAGCTCCGGTTGAGCTCCGCTATGGATGCCCATCCCAGGGCTCTCTGTCACTCTGAGAGGCTCTGTCCTCAGCTAACCACAAGAACGGGAGATAGCAGAGCCAGTTTCCCCGCGGGAATGGGGCACGAAGGTCCTGCAAGGCCCGCCTGCCCGCCAGTCCCTCCCAGGGCTCCCGCCTGGCCATCCCACAGAAATATAGACACTGCGCATGCTCTACTGCCCGGCCTGGGTGCTTTGTTCCGACTGAAGGAATTTTGGCAGCCTGGAATCCTTTTGGATCCCCCAAAACACCCAGAACGCAACCCTGAAGGTCCAGAGAAGGGAGAAGCCCCAAGCAAGTCCTGGTGTTTCAGGGCTGCAGCCTGCAGCTAAGGAGTGCTGGGGATGTCTGCAAGCACTGGAGCCAGGGAGAAGCTCACATACACAGAAAACTAAGAGGGATGAGTTATGCAAGTTCGCGGGCTGGTGTGAGGTTTGGGCATGGCTCCCTCCACTGTTCTGGTCTGGTAAGCGAGCGGCCTATTTCCCTGCTGGACCTCTTATAGGGGCAGCCCCTCAGCCTGAAACCCTAACAACAACATCAAGGACAACAAAAACGCAGGCATAGTGCCAGTGATCAGAGGTGGCTTCCTCAAGGCTGAGGAGTGGATCTGGTGAGCGCGTCATCTCTCTCCACCTGGCACCGCAAAGTGCAGCTGCAAATGCAAGGATACACAAAGGAGCCACGCAGCTGAGGGACAGTCCGTCTACCGCCCATTGTTGTCAAGCACCATCTACAGGACGCAGCGCAAACTACAATAACAAAAAAACGAATTATTCCTTAGCAAAACCAAGGGCAAGAAATCAACAACAGAGACCCTAGACAAAGCCTTAATCCTGTGAAAACTTACAGAAATAAAGCCAACTCAATATATATTCAATTTACGCAACAGTTGAATGAAGACCAACCTTCCCAGATAAGAAAGAATCAGCACAAGAACTGCGGCAATTCAAATAGCCAGTGTCCCCTTAACTCCAAAAGAACCCATTAGCTCCTCAGCGATGGTTCTTAACTAGGCTGAAACGAATGAAATAACAGACATAGAATTAAGAATATAGATGGAAAGGAAGCTCATGGAGATGCAGAAGAAAAGTTGAAGCCCAATCCAAGTAAGCCAAGTAATTCAGTAAAATGATTCAAGAGCTGAAAGATGAAGTAGCCATTTTAAGAAAGACCCAAACTGAACTTCTTCAGCTGAAAAATTTATAAGAATTTCATAACACAATTGGCAATAATTAACAGCAAAACAGACCACGCTGAGGAAAGAATCTCAAGCTCAAAAGCCAGTTCTTCAAATCAGCTGTCAGACAAAAATAAAGAAAAAAAGAATTTTTTAAAATGAACAAAACCTTCTAGAAATACAGGATTATGTAGAGACCAAATCTATGACTTATTGGCATCCCTGAGAGACAAGGAGAGAAAATAAGCAACTTGGAAAGTATATTTGACGATATAATCCATGAAAATTTCCCTAATCTTGCTAGGGAGGTTGACATGCAAATTCAAGGAATACAGGAATCTCATCTGGATAGCATACAAGATGACCATCCCCAAGGCATATATTCATCAGACTCACCAAGGTCAACACAAAAGAAAAAATCTTAAAGGCAGCTACAGAGAGAGGTGAAGTCGCATACAGAGGGGACACCATCAGACTGGCAGCAGACCTCCCAGCAAAAACCTTACAAGCCAGAAGAGATGTGGGCCATTTTCAGAAACCTTAAAGAAAAGAAATTTCGACTAAAAATTTCATACCCCACCAAACAAAGCTTCATAAGTAACGGAAAAATAAAACTCTTCTCAGATAAGCAAATGCTGAGAGAATTCATATCAACTAGAAGAGCTTTCCAAGATGTCCTTAAGGGAATGCTAAACATGAAATCGAAAGAATGATACCTGCTGACACAAAAACTAACTTAAACACATAGCTTACAGACATTATAAAGCAACTACACAACCAAGTCTACATAAAAATTAACTAACAACAAGATGACAGGTTCAAAATCTCACATATCAATACTAACCCTGAATGTAAATTGGCTAAACACCCCTCTTAAAAGAAACAGAGAGGTAAGCAGAATAAAAAAACAAGACCCAACCATCTACCATCTTCAAGAGAGTAATGTCACATGTAATGATACTCAGAGGTTCAATGTAAAGGATTGAAGAAAGATTTATCATGCAAATGGGAAAAGAAAGCAGGAGTCACTATTCTTATATCAGATAAAATGGACTTTAAATGTTTTACAGTTAAGAAAAACAAAGAAGAGGATTAGATAATAATAAGTGGTACAATTCAAAAAGAGGACTGAATTATCCTGAATACGTATGCACGCAACATTGAAGCACCCACATTCATAAAACAAGTTATTCTTGACCTATGAAAAGATTTAGACAGCCACACAATAATAGTGGGAGGTGTCAACACCCCGCTGGCCGCATTAGATAGATCATGGAGGCAGAAAACTAACAAAGACACTCTGAATTCTAATGCAACACTTGCCCAATTGGACCTACAGACACCTACAGAACACCCTACTTAGCAACCACACTATATGCATTCTTCTCATCTGCACACAGAACATATTCTGAGATTGACTACATGCTAAGTCATAAAGCAATTCTCAATAAATTTAAAAAAATCAAATCATAACCAACACAGTCTTGGATCACAGTGCAATTAAGACAGAAACCAATTTCAAGAAGATCTCCCAAAACTACACAAATACTTAAAAATTAAAAGTCTTCCTCCTGAGTAACTCTTGGGTGAACATCAAAATAAGGACACTAAGAGGAAAGTTTGTAGCACTAAATGCCTTCATCAGGAAATTAGAAATATCTCAAATTAACAATCTAATTTGCACCTAAAGGAACTAGAAAAAAAAGAAAGCAATTTATAAGCTAGCAGAATAAAAGAAACAACTAAAATTAGAGAAAAACTGAATGAAATTGAGACAGAAATCCATGCAAAAGAACGAGTTGGCTTTTCAAAAGAATAAACAAAATTGATAGAAACCCTAGCTAGATTAACAAAGAAAAATGAAGAGATGATCCAAATAACACAATCAGAAATGACAAAGGCAATATTATGACTGATCCCACTGACAAACAAAAGATCCTGAGAGACTGCTATGAACTCAATGCACACAAATTAGAAAATCTAGAGGAAGTGGATAAAATCCTGGATGCACACTATCTCCCAAGATTGAATCAGTAAGAGGTTGAAACCAGGAATGTACCAATATCAACTTCTGAAACTGAATAGGTAACAAAGAAACTACCAAACAATAAAAGCCTTGGGTCAGATGGATTCACAGCTGAATTCTACCAGACATACAAAAAAGAACGGGTACCAATCATATTGAAACTATTTCAAAAAATTGAGGAGTAGGAGATCCTCCCTACCTCATTCTGTGAAGCCAGCATCAACCTGATACCAAAATCTGGCAGAGATAGAGTGAAAAAAGAAAACTTCAGGCCAATATCGCTGATGAACATAGACACAAAACTCCTCAACAAAATATTAATAAACCAAGTCCAGCAGCACATCAAAAAGTTAATATACCACAATCAAGTAGTCATTATTCCTGGGATGCAAGGCTGGTTCAACCTACATAAATTAATAAATGTGATTCACCATATATACAGAGTTAAAAGCAAAAGCCATATGATCATCTCAATAGTCATGAAAAAAGCTTTCAATAAAATCCAACACACCTTCATGATAAAAACCCTAAAGAGATTAGACATTGAAGGAACGTATCTGAAAATAGTAAGAGCCATATATGACAAACACAACCAACATCATACTGAATGGGAAAAGCTCAGATCATTCCTCTGGAGAATAGGAAAAAGACAAGGATGTCTACTTTCACCACTCCTATTCAGCATAGTACTGGAAGTCCTAGCAAGAACAATCAGGCAAGGAAAAGAAATAAAAGGCATCCAATTAGGAAAAGAAGAACTGAAACTATTTCTCTTCACTGACAATATGATCCTACTCCTTGATAATCCTAAAGGCTCTGCCAAAAGGCTTCTAGAATGTAGAATTAATAAATGACTTTGGTAAAGTTTCAGTATTAAAAAAATCAAAGAAATCAGTAGCATTTCTACACATGAACAACATACATGCTGAGAGTGAAATCAAGAACACAATCCCACTTATAATAGCATAATAGCCACATAGCAAATGAAATACCTAAGAATATGTCTAACCAAGGAGGTGAAAGATCCCTACAAAAGGAACTACAAAAAAAAAAAAAAAAAACTGCTGAAAGAAATCAGTGATAACACAAATAAATAGAAAAGCATTCCATGCTCATGGATTGGAAGAATCGATATCATAAAAATGGCCACACTATAGATATATAGATTCAGTGCAATTCTTATAAAACTAACAACATCAGTTATTCACAGAATTAGGAAAAACTATTTTAAAATTCTTATGGAATCAAAAAAGAGCCTTAATAGCCAAAGGAATTTTTCAGCAAAAGGAACAAAGCAGGAAGTATCATACTATCCAATTTCAAACTATACTATAAGGCTACAGTAGCAAAATTAATGTGGTACAGATACAAAAACAGACACATAGAACAATGGAACAGTAAAAAAGTCAGAAATAAAGCTGCACACATATAAACATCTGATCTTTGACAAGGCCAACACAAATAAGCAATGGGGAAAGTACTCCCTTATTCAATAAATGGTGCTGGGATAACTGACTAGCCGTGCGCAGATCAAAGCTGGACCCTTACCTTTCACCATATAAAAAAATTAACTCAACATGGATTAAATATTTAAATGTAAGACCTCAAATTATAAAAAATCCTAGAAGATAATCTAGGAAATACTCTTATGAACATTGGCCCTGGCAAATAATTTTTGGCTAAGTCTTCAAAAGCAATTGCAACAAAACCAAAAATTGACAAGTGGAATCTAATTAAACTAAAGAGCTTCTGCACAGCAAAGGAAACCATCAACAGAGACAATGTACAGAATGGGAAAAGATATTTGCGAACTATTCATTTGTCAAAGGCCTAATATCCAGACTCTATAAGGAACTTAAAGAATTCAACAAGCAGAAAACAACCCCATTAAATATCAGGCAAAGGACATGAACAGACATTTCTCAAAAGAAGACATACAAGTGGCCCACAAACATATAAAAAAATGCTGAGCATCACTAATCATGAGCGAAATGCAAATGAAAACCACAATGAGATACCATCTCACCCACTCAGATTGATTATTATTAAAATGTCAAAAAATGAAAAACACTGGCAAGGCTTCAGAGAAAAGGGAATGCTTATACAGTGTTGGTGGAAATAAAATTAGTTCAGTCACTGTGGAAAGCGGTCTGGAGATTTCTAAAAGAACTTAACACAGAGCTACCATTTGACCCAGCAATCCCAATACTGGGCATATAACTTAATGAAAATAAGTAAGTAAACCAAAAGACACATGCACTTGTATGTTCACCACAGCACTATTCACAGTAGTAAAAACTTAGAATAAATCAAGGTGCCAATCAAAAGACTGGATAAAAAAATATGGTACATATGCACCATGAATATTATGCAGCCATAAGAAAGAATGACATCATGTCCTTTGCATCAACATGGATGCAATTGGAGGCTATAATCTTAAGCAAAATAAGGCAGAAACACAAAACCAAATAATGCATGTTATCTCTTATGAGTGGAAGGTAAACACTGAGCACAGATGGATATAAATATGCGAACTAAAGACACTATGGACTACTAGAGTGGAAAGGGAGGGAGGGAGCTGAAAAACTGTCTATTGGGTATTATGCTCACTACTTGGGTGATGGGATCCATTCCTCAAACTTTAGCATCATGCAATATTTTCATATAACAAAACTGCACATATAACCCCTGTATCTAAAATAAAAGTTGAAATTTTTTTAAAAGTTAGGCATAAAGATATCAAGGCTTTTATAGGAGATACTAAACAGATATATTAACTATTATATTAACTAATAATACTAAACTAATACATATTGAACAAATTAATGTTGGACGCTGTATCAGGAAACACCAAATATAGCCGTTCAAAGAGGCAATTATGTCTTTTGAATCACTCTTTTAAGCTGGGCTTGCAGACATATCTATTTCATTAAAAATTTCTATTTGATTGCCATTGAATTTGAAGCATGCAGAATAATTTCCCTCTTTTCTTCTTACATATCCACATCCGAATCCTGGAAACAGTGAATGTGTTAATTTACATGGAAAATAATACATTGCTGGTATAAAATAAATTAAGGATATTGAGATAGATTATTGTGAATTAACCAGTTAGGCACAAGGTAATCACAAAAGTCTTTATAAAAGGAAGATGGAAGAAACCATGAGCCAAGAAATTCAGGTGACATCTAGAAACTGGAAAAGTCAAGAAATAGATTCTTCCCTAGAGCCTCCAGAAGGAGCACAGCCCTGCTGACACCTTGATTACAGCCCCTTGAGACATATTTTGGATTTCTGACCTCCAGAACTATAAGATAACATTTCTGGTAACTTGTTAGAACAGCAATAGAAAACCAATAGAGGGTTGCCTCAGCTATATCTATAGTTATTATTATTTTTATTCATAACATTATTCATCTATGCATTCATTTTGTTTGATTAGTCTTGAGTCATAAATTTTGTTATTGTCATTAAATAACAAATATTTAAACTTTTAGTTTTTATTTATTATTATTATTATACTTTAAGTTCTGGGATACAAGTGCAGAATGTGCAGGTTTGTTAATAGGTATACACTTGCCATGGTGGGTTGCTGCACTCATCAACCCGTCATCTGCATTAGGTATTTCTCCTAATCCTATCCCACCCCTATGCCCCCACCCACCAACAGGCCCCAATGTGTGATGTTCCCCTCCCTGTGTCCATGTGTTCTCACTGTTCGACTCCCACTTATGAGTGAGAACATGCGGTGTTTAGTTTTCTGTTCCTGTGTTAGTTTGCTGAGAATGATGGAGTCCAGCTTCATCCAAGTCCCCGCAAAAGACATGAACTCATCCTTTTTTATGGCTGCATATTATTCCATGGTATTTATGTGCCACATTTTCTTTATCCAGTCTATCACTGGTGGGCATTTGAGTTGGTTCCAAGTCTTTGCTATTGTTAACAGTACTGCAATAAACATATGTGTTCATGTGTCTTTATAGTAGAATAATTTACAATCCTTTGGATATATACCCAGTAATGGGATTGCTAGGTCGAATGGTATTTCTGGTTCTAGATCCTTGAGGAATCTCCACACTGTCTTCAACAATGGTTGAACTAATTTACACTCCCATCAACAGTGTAAAAGCATTCCTGTTTCTCCACATCCTCTCCAGCATCTGTTGTTTTCTGACTTTTTAATGATCACCATTCTAACTGGTGTAAGATGGTATCTCATTGTGGTTTTGACCAGTGATAATGAGCTTTTTTTCATATGTTTGTTGGTCGCATAAATGTCTTCTTTTGAGAAGTGTCTGTTCATATCCTTCGCCCACTTTTTGATGAGGTTGTTAGTTTTTTTCTAGTAACTTGATTAAGTTCCTTGTAGATTCTGAATATTAGCCCTTTGTCAGATGGATAGATTGCAAAAATTTTCTCCCATTCTGTAGTTTGCCTGTTCACTCTGATGATAGTTTCTTTTGCTGTGCATAAGCTCTTTAGTTTAATTAGATCCCATTTGTCAATTTTGGCTTCTGTTGTCATTGCTTTTGGTGTTTTAGTCATGAAGTCTTTGCCCATGCCTATGGGCATGGTACTGTCTAGGTTTCCTTCTCGGGTTTTTTATGGTTTTAGGTCTTATGTTTAAGTCTTTAATCCATCTTGAGTTAATTTTTGTATAAGGTGTAAGGAAGGGATCCAGTTTCAGTTTTCTGCATATGGCTAGCCAGTTTTCCCAACACCACTTATTAGGTAGGGAATCCTTTCCCCATTGCTTGTTTTTGTCAGGTTTGTCAAACATCAGATGGTTGCAGATATGTGGCGTTATTTCTGAGGCCTCTGTTCTGTTCCATTGTTCTATGTGTCTGTTTTGGTACCAGTACAATGGTGTTTTGGTTACTGTAGCCTTGTAGTATAGTTTAAAGTCATGTGGCATGATGTCTCCAGCTTTGTTCTTTTTACTTAGTATTGTCTTTTTTGGTTCTTTTTTTCTGTTCCATTAGTATTTTTTTCCTCTTATTTTTACTATTTCATTCCTCCTCATTCCTTTGACCATGTTCTGGTCCTTTTCCAAGGTCTTAACTAAAACATTTAGCTCATTACTTTTTACCTTTTCTTTCTTCCTTGTATACTCATTTAAAGCCATGCATTTTTCCCTAAACAATTTTTTGCTACAATATTGATATATAGCAAATAAATTTTTAAGCAATTTTAAGTTTTATTATAATTTTTCTTTTTCAAATATATGGAGATTGCTTAATTTATTATTTTCTTACTCAATTTTTAACATTTTATTTTAAAAATTATAACTCACAGAAAAGTCACTAAATGTTATGATTACCTCCTATATTCCCTTCACCTAAACTCACCAATTGCTCACTTTTTGCACATTTTAAATTCACTAACTCCCATCTATATGCATCTCTCTATATATGTATTTGTATATACACACACGTATATGTTTATGCACTTATAAAATACATTTATATTTTTATTTGCTAAATAATTCAAGAGTTAGTCACAGACATCATAACACTTATCACATCTATTGTAAATAGTTTAGCATGTATCTCCTAAGAACATAGATACTCACATAACTCCAATAAAATTTTCCCATTCAAGTAATTTATTTTTTATAAGATACATATTTTTAACGTGCAGTCTGTGTTCAAATTTTCACAGTGGTCTTTATAATGTTTTAGTTTATCTGAATGAGCACTCAGTAAGGATTACCTGTTATATAGTTGTCATGTCTCCTTATTTTCCATTAATCTAGAATAGTTCCTCTTCCCAGACTTTCATTGTCATTCATTGTGTTAACAGTTTTGAAGATTCCAGGCCAGTATTTCAGAACATCTTTCCTTTTGTATTTGTCTGATTTTTTTCCCTAATGGATGAATTCAGATTGAAAAATGTTTAAGGTATTATTACATAGGTGATAAGTCCTACCTACATGATATGGTTTGGCTGTGTCCCCACCCAAATCTCCCCTTGAATTGTAGCTGCCATAATTCCTACGTGTTGTGAGAGGGACCTGGTGGGAGACAATTGAATCATTTGGGAGGTTTCCCCCATTATGTGATCGTGATCTGGCACTTGTTAATTGGCCAAAATGTGAAGTCCAGCAAAGATTACTTACAATTTCAGTGAATGTTAAAAAATTTCCAGGTAGCAATTTCGGTTTTTGTACATTATTTCAATTAGCCTTCAGAGCTCATTAAAAATGTTTTTAATTTATAAAAATAAAAAGAAATGTTTCACAAAAATAAGTAACTTCTGTAAATTTGAAGGAAATGTGACAGTGTTGGAATTTTAATCCCTGTCCATCTAACTCCAAAGCCAGATCGCTTAACTGGAATGTTTTTCATTTATTTTATTATACTTTAAGTCCTGGGGTACATGTGCAGAACATGCAGATTTGTTACATATGTATACATGTGCTATGGTGGTTTGCTGCACCCATCAACCCGTCATTTACATTAGGTATTTCTCCTAATGCTATCTTCTTAATCAAGCCGAATGGTTTCTTGGAAAAGCATATTATAAGAAAAAGCAATGCAAAGTAATATCATTCAAATTTAAGCAGAAGATAGTTATTAAATTTGAAACTATTGGAGATTTAGAAATTGTCTTATGTCAAATTTCAGGTTGAAAAAGTCTTTTTTCTCTTACTTTTAAACTTCTTATCCTATTTTTTTCATCTCTATGTTTGATACCAAACAAACTGGATTCTCTTCACTAGCTATAGGTTAAAGAAATGATCTAGTCAATTAAGAATATGGAATCTAATTATTTTGAACCTATCAAAACCTCATTATCCTGTGTAATAAAAATGGTAAAAATATTGTGTATATTATCTTTGCTGGTCAAGTAGAGAATAGAATTCCCTTTAGACCAATGAAGGAATTCTATTTATTTGTCATACAAATTATTTTTTTACTTTATCCATTAAAAATCTTTATTCTTTATTTCAATAAAAGTGCATGGCAGACTTTTTAGAAAAGAATAGCAAGATAAATCTAGCAATTCCATAACAGAAAGATCACCGGAAAAAAAGTGTAGATAGATATATTTTTATAAAGATGAAGAACTTCCACAATAACTTTTATTTTTGCTTACAAGACTCAGCTGGCTTGTGAGACAGAAAAAGCTAGCTTGAAGTGGAAAAAGCTAATTTATCATCTGTTACCTTTACCTTAAATCTAGCAGAGCCACATGACATCAAATCTCCCATCCGCCCACATGGATCTCAGTTCATGGATAAGGTAACAAACTCTCACCAAAGTTCTCCATCACTTCCTTTTCCTTGGAGCCACAAGCTGTGTGCTGTCTCTCTCTAATTACAAAGTTCTAGTACTCACTGCTGATCTTAAATTCACATTTCAGAAGTTCTGGCAACTGATACTCAGAGTTTGGAAAAAATGTTTACAGGAAACAAAGAAAGTGGCCAACAATTATATTTCCCTTTGCTTTTTTTTTTCCTCCCCTCACTTTCTGTAGAGTAAAAGCCTCACAACTATAAAGGACATTAGTGAAAAATTAGGACGATTTGAATATGGGCTGTTTTAGATAATATCCCTTTAATTATTTATGTCTGTAATTTCTATCCACAATATTTTGTAGCTTGAGATGCCATTTTTGTTGGAATTATTTTTAAATATCTAATAATCTAAAATGTGTCATTTTAAAATTTTGTTTTCAATTTGATTCTAGTGCCTAGAAATATAATTTACTTTTTGTATTGACTTTATTTAGTGACTTTGCTGAATTGATGTATTAATTCTATTAGTTTCTAGATATTAAAAAAGTAGATATCTAATCATGTTACATGTGAATAATGACAGCTATATTTCCTCCTTTCCACTGCTTATACTATTTGTCCTATTCTTAACTTACAGCACTGGTGCAATCCTCTAGTATAATGTTGTATGGAAGTATTGATAAATTAACATTCTTTGTTTATTTCTGAACTTGGGTGAAAGTGTTCAATAATCCACTGTAAAATATGGCATTTGATGTGGCTTTTGGTATAGGTAAAACATTATCAGTTTAAAGTGATTCCTCTGTCCTCATTTTACTGATATTTTTATCATGACTTAATGTTTTATAACTCCTACAAATCAACAGGATAAAGAGGTACAACCACTAAAAAAAAAAAAAAGAATGTCGCCAAGACTCAAATACAAATTCACAAAAGAGCATCTCTAATGGCCAGTATCAACATCAATTATGGAAAAGTTATCAACATCATTAATGGAGAGGAAAAAGGAAATAAGACCAAAAGACCAAGATGATATGAATTTACACACACAACAGAAGGGCTAAAATTGGAAAAAATGTGGACCAGCTGGAACTGTGGTACACTGCTTATGGGAACTTAAATTGCCCTAATCATTTTTTGCTGTCAATATCTCTAAAAGATAATAATATAAACAGTTTATGTTGAAACTTCTCTACTCCTAGGTATATAACCATTAATAATGAATGCACACATTAATACAATTATAGCAGCTTTATTCATAATTTTCATCTATCCTACCACAGATACATTAAATTATAGTATAGGTATACTGTGAGACCCCTGAAGTGGGGTTCAGAGTTTGGATCATAAACCAAAATCACAAGATGCAAATAGGGTTATTTAGCTCCAAATTGACACTGGTCAGAGAGCATAGTATTATACATATCAGGAATATCATATATAATTTGGACACCCAGATGCTTTTCCCTATGTGCCCAGGTACTGTGTACAGGATATGTTTTGGTTATAAGATTAACCCAAAGCTGAAATGTGTATATGTCACAGCAGCATAAGAAACCTACCAGGTACAAGTAGCCTCAACTTAAATACCTTGTTACCACATAATTTTAAGTGACTAGCTCCCTTTTCTTCATGTGGCCTTAGTCCACAGGTTGTAAGTCACATAATAACCAAGGCTGCCAGCCAAGGACAAAGCCTAGAGGACATTCTTTAAGTAATACTTAGCACATACCAAGCCCTGCAAAACCATCACCTATTTTTAGAGTTGATATTTCAAAATGTTTGAATAAGGGGAAAATCTTTAATCTAGGTGAGGTATTAAGACCAACTGCTGACCCTTTCCCTCAAGGCCACAATTTAGCCTTTGTTAACACATCCTTGCCACATAAATCCTGGGTATGACAAAAATTTCTATAATAGAAATTATATGTGTGAGCATGCATACACACATATATAATTCTGTTACATTATTTTTTAAAAACTTAAAATTTACTAAGACACCAATAAGTAGCATGATAAGAATCATCTGATAATATGTGGAAACATTAAAAACATGAAACAAAGCAAAACAAAACAAAAAAGTTAATCATAATTTCACATTATCGTTATTGCCACAAGCTACAGGGATTTACCATTCTTCTTTTCCTTCCTCAACCTAGTCTCCCTCTATTCTACCTTTTGAGATTATTCTTGGAAAAAAAATCAGTTATTTTTATTTTCATAATTCTTTCAAAAAAGAGAGAAAAAGTATAACCAGGAAGTATAAGCAATATGAGAAAGTTATGAGGATTTCATAATCCTTCAAATTTCTTGCAACGATTTTTACTAGTTCAGGGGTCACATCTCTTATCAACTCTGTCCCCACTCCTGAGTCTCCTCAAAGAATTCTTGAT
Organism: Homo sapiens; assembly: GCF_000001405.40. Lineage (NCBI taxonomy): Eukaryota > Metazoa > Chordata > Mammalia > Primates > Hominidae > Homo > Homo sapiens. The sequence goes on from NC_000006.12 coordinate 50,043,256, forward strand.
AATACCTCACTAATGACTCATAATATGCTTTTCACACTAAATAAGGAATTGGCCCCAGAATCTCACTAAACTTAGCGGTCCCATCATGGATTTTCTTCTCCACGCTGCTTCTATTCCAGAGTTCAAATCCCTGCTTTGTATTCTGATTCTTTCTTCTAAGCAAGCACAATGTTTATAAAAATGTCCAGCTGAAATATATTTTATTTAATTATTTATTCATTATAGGTATGCATGCATGGAAATTATAGGTCATTAATGAAGTGATGAAATAATGAGAGGACTTCATTCAGATGTATCATCTTCTTGTGCATGGATTTCTTCAATGACGTGAGTCTTTAGGGTACCATTCTTGAGTCCCTACTGAGTCCTTTGGGATCCAATTATTTGGGTCCGTAGGGTCACATTCTGTCACGCAGCAATGAGTTGTAGGTCTTGCACAGTATGAAATCCTAAATTCACTATCATCACATTGATTTTTACATCGACCTCCAATCGCTGTACATGACTTCCACCTACTAAAGGTGATATGGTGCCCTTCACTTCTGGCTGAAAGAAGGCAAGAACAGCTGGAATTAGTAATCTAGGTGGGAACTCCCAAGATTTAAAAGAAGACATGGGAGTAATCACAGACAACAGAGGAGAAATAAAGGAAATGGATATTTGCTTTAATTTTTTTGTCCATATCAGAGAAAATCAAGGAAACCAACAAGTATACAGTTCCTAAACTGTAGAGGTTCCATTCTTATGCAGTTTAAATAATTCTGTAGTGACTCAATAAGGGATTTCTGAAGGGCTTGCAATGTATTAATCTTCCTCTGTCTGTCTTGTACATTGACTAGAACCATTGGATATGAGTGGGACGATCTCCATCCTCTCATTTATTATTTATTCTTAGTACTGTTCTGTGGTAAATGTTCTCTTCCTTTTTAAGATTCCATTGTTCTTTTTAACCTGACTTGAGCAGTTCTAAAATATTGAAAGATACAATTTTATTTTCCTTAAATATCTCATCTCCTCTTGGATTTGCACCCTAGAGCCAAGCACAAGAGAAGTTTTGCTAAAAAAATAGACACTTTGGGGTGATTAGAATACGGAGATAGTAAATAACCACAAGCTGTGGACATAGTGAACATTTCAGCAAGGCTCATAATTTTCTAGTTCTACTTTGCCATTTTTCTCTTTCATCCTGAAGTTTCCAATGCTATAGAAAATTTTTAAAAATGTCTCTAATCTCACTTTACAGCATAATTTCTTCGACTTTGTAACTTCCACAAGTATAAGGAATGATGTATGTACCTAGATAGAAGGTCTCTCTGTCACTAACAGAAGTTCTGATCTGTAGTTGCAGATATTCATTTATTCTCTGTATCTCCACAGATACATAGCACATATCACTGGAGAGCCAGGTTTTGAATCTATATAATAATTTTTAAATTAATTAAAAAGTTTAATAAAAATTCTGGAGGAGACTGTCTTAGGAAGTACATATCTACCATTACTCGACTAATATAAGCATGCATTGCTGGACATATTTCAGAAGGTGGATAAAAATGACCAAGTCCTTATCACTGATGTCTGTAAGTATGCTTTCATCTCAAAAACCTTTTTATTCTGTAATTAACCATTTTCGTGTCCATCTTTTTAAATAAAATACATATATATCATTTTATATAAAGTAGTAATATTACCCACAAATTTTGCAGCAAGAATTTAAAATAACTGAGGATTTTGAGACTACACTATCAGAGGATATTCCTTTTAACATACTCTGGATTTGCAGTGATGTGTACTCAGTCATCTAGGAGACAGCACTTTATGCAGTTATCTTTGCTAATAATTGTATTTTATTTGCAAATAGTAATAGTAATATGAATAATGGTAATAATAATATTTCAAGCCCATATTTACCCTGAGATATGAAAGGTACATTTCATAATTGGATTAGCCTCAGCATAGTTCTGTTCACAAAGCAACATATCACAAGGGGTATTTCCTTCTGAGAGAAGAACACAAAATATAAATGCAGAGCCTAATGTAGCACTGTAAATGAAATAGCCATGAGATTACTACCTACATCAAGAAACAAGATATTACTAGAAGCTTCACACCCTCATGCCACATCATAACCCCCTCCCTCTTCCCTAAGAGTAATCACTGTCTTGAATTAAACACTAACTTTCTTACTTTGCTTTATATTAATATTTGTATACCTCAATTATGCATTTTTTATGCCTGCTTTTGAACATGTATACACATAAAATATGTATAAATCTAGATATACACACAAATATATATATACACACATACAAATAAATGTGTACATATGTGTATACAATCAGGTGTCACTTAGGGACAGGGATATGTTTTGAGAAATGTGCCATTAGGTGATTCTGTCCTTGTGCGAACACCATAAACTGTACTTACACAAATCTAGATGGTACAACCTATCACATACCTAGGCTGTAAGGTATAGCCTATTACTCCTGATCTACAAAATGGCACCTGTTACTGGACTGAATACTTTAGGCAACTGTAACATAATGGTAAGTATTTATGTATCTAAACATAGACTGAAACACTGTTTTGCAGCACATGACTGTTTATACTGATAGTCCCCGAATTACAATAATTTGACTCAATTTTTCATCCTCAGAATGGTGCAAAAAAGACATACGTTCAGTGGATACAATATTACAAATAGTCATACAACAATTCTGTTTTATGCTTTTAGTACATTATCAAACACATTCCATGATATATTCAATAATTTATTATAAAACACTCTTTATGTTAGATGATTTTGCCCAATTGTAGGCTAATGTAAGTATTCTGAGCATGTTTAAGCCAGGGTAAGCTAAGCTATGATGTTCTGCCAGTAGGGTGTATTAAATCCACTTTCAATTGATGATATTTTCAACTCAAAATGTCTTTATCAAGACATAATTCCATCATGAATTGAGGAGCACTGTGTGTGTGTGTGTGTGTGTGTGTGTGTGTGTGTGTGTATCTTAGAGAGAATCATACAGTTTGTTTGTTTCTGGATTTTTAAATTTATATTCATAAAATTGAACTTTGTGGTTGGATGTAGTTTGCAGTACTGATTTTCATTAATACATAGCATTCACTTTATCTAATAAACTTTATATGATCATATAGGTTATTTGCTACAGGGAGAATTTGGCTGCTCTTAACATTCTTGTACTGTTTCTTGAAGCATATTGAATAATCTTCTGTTGGATAGATTTCAAATTTTGAATGTTCTGTTGAATGTATGGTGGTAGTTTATCGTGGTTTAAATTAGCATTTTCTTGATTGCAAGTGAGGATGAGCACTTTAAAGAGGTTGTTTATTCACTCTTTCAAGTGGCTTAGGTCTTTTTTTCATATTTCTGCTGAATTACCTAGCATTTTCTTATTTATTTATTAGAATTTTAAAATATATTCTAGATTTAAGCCCTTTGCTAGTTATATATGTAGCAATGTTTGTATTCTACTCTATGACTCTACTAAGCTGATATACAAGAACTGAAGGAAATTTTGCCATTGAAGTGATTGGTAAAGTGGTGTAATGGACAAGAGGGAAGAACCTTTAAAGGCTATGGGTCCTAAAACATAGGTTTGGAATAAAGGTGAGCCTAGGGTTACATGAGCTGGCCAGGTACTGAGTGAACCTGGAGCCTGTATCCACCGAGGCTGGCCTCGGGGCTGAGTCCACAGGTCCTTCCCTGATGACTATGGCTGTGGAGCTCACCTTGTTCTTGGACAAGCCTGAAACCTGGGGGTCAGCTTGGTGTTGGGGGGATCCAGAGCCCAGGAACACTGGGGCCAGCCTAGCTCTAGAGAAACTCTGGAAACCGAGTGTGATTATTGGGCCTAGCCTGAGTCTGTGGGGCTTGAACTAGCACTAGGGCTACTGGGCAGGCCTGGAGGGGCAGTGAGCTGAGACTTGATGGGCTGGCCTAGAGCCAGAGGCTGTCAGATCCGGCCTGGTGCCAGAGCAGACTTGGAAGCTCAGTCTTCAGGTACTGGTCTGAAGTCTGAGGCCATGGGGGCCTGCTCGGTGCTGGGTTCTACTTAGAAAGGGCATCCAGTGTTGGGTCCAAGGCTAATTTCTATGGTCATTTCCCTCTCTTTCCTTCACAGGGAGGGTATCTGTCTCCAGGCTGTGCTATCTAGGCTTGGGAGAGAGGTCCATGAGCAATGTGACACTATCTTTCCTACCCTCTTTAATGTGTCTTTTCTTATTTCTGTAATCTACCCAAGTGCTGTAATCTCTCACCTGGTTTCCTTAGCTCTTGTGAAGGCATTTTCGTGCATGGATAATTGTTCAAATTAGTGATTCTGTAAAGGAAGGAGCATTGAAAAGTCCCATTCCAACATCATGCTGACATCCAGTGAAACTTAGTCAAAAAGAATTCTTTTAAAACTAAGTTCCCAGTCCCTTATCTAGACTTTTGTTGCTCAATTGCCTTTTTGAGTTATCTTAATTAAACCGTGCTTTCAAATAAACAGAACACCTTTATCATTCTTTTCATATAACAATATACTTTTTATATCCAAAAATATCAGTATTTTGAACAGTAGTGATTGATAAAAATAGTTTTGCCTTGGCCAGGCGTGGTGGCTCACACCTGTAATCCCAGCATTTTGGGAGGCCGTGGCAGGTAGATCACCTCAGGTCAGGAGTTCGCTACCAGCCTAGCCAACATGGTGAAACCCTGTCTCTACTAAAAATACAAAAAATTAGCGGGGCGTGGTGGTGGGAGCCTGTAATCCCAGCTACTCCGGAGGCTGAAGCAGGAGAATTGCTTGAACCCGGGAGACGGTGGTTGCAGTGATCCAAGATAGTGTCATTGCACTCCAGCCTGGGCAACAAGAGTGAAACTCCGTCTCAAAAAAAAAAAAATAAATATGTCCAGCTGTTGAGTAGGAGGGAAACTGAGACAACAGTATAATTCCTAAGCACAATTACATTAAAACATTTTAAAAAGTAATAATGTTGCTGAGAACAATGGTTAGAAAACCTTTCTTCATGGAAATGATAAAAGGACATTTGTCTAGCCAGCATTTTATCAAAAAAATCGGCCTCTACAACCTTAAAATAAGATTTCTTTCTTGTTTTAAACATGAAATTCAGTCTTCATAAAGCTATGAGGTGAAAGACAAGAACATATAAGTAAACAGGGACTGAGGTAGAGAATATACTCAGAATATTTACTTCATTTCAGTCAAAAAGTATTGATTAAAATGTGCAAGACACAATTCTACTTATTTTGTTTTACCTGTGCTGATTTTCTCTGTCCCATGTCGGGCCTTTTCAAATATTGTGGAAGATGTATTTGTCTTTGAGTACATTTTTTCAAGTTTCAGTCTACATATGGTTGTCAATAATTTCATAAGAGTGCTAAGAGGTTGTTAAGAGCTCACTGTAAAGTGAAAAAATTACTTTAAAAGTAGGAGGAAAAATATTTTCAGAAATAAGGACACAAATGTAGTTGCCTCTATTTAATGGTCCTATATATTATAAAAGGTTTTACAAAATGATAAACATATAGTACATATGTTTAAAAATCCAGTTAAATGAATAAATGACTTGGCTATTAATAAGTTCACCTTGCATGGCTATTGTTAGGAAAAATAAATTAATACAGGCAAAAGGCTGAACAAATGCTAGCTATTAAAATCATTATTATGAAGAAAACCTATCAGTGTTTATTGAAATCTGTATAATTCTTTGTACCTCAGAAAAGTTCTAAATATAGAGAGAATTCTAATGAGCACACTTTAATTAATTTTTATAAAGAAGAAAAATTATTATCTGATTTAAATTAACTCCCTTGTTGGTTTACATTATTAACTGAAGTTCACCTCCTTGTCCCCTTTTGGTGAGAAATTATTAGCTAAAAAGCTATTTATGTTTAAATGTTAGGGCAGAATAACAGTAAAATAATGAGTTACTACAGATTTATTTTAAGGTTACCTCCTCTGATCTCAATACTGAAAGATATCTTGATAATCAGAGAAAGCAGCAAGATAAAGAAAAAGGAGAATTTAACTGGAAGTGAGCAGTAGACAAGTGCAGCTTGTCTCAATTGTTAATAAAATACAATCTGAAACTTTTAGCAAGACATTTTATCTGATTAACCTCTGCTATAAATATCACTGTGGGGATCAATGATTTCCAAGCATAATTCATAACTTTCCCAGTTTTTTCTAATCTATTAATAGATCAAATTCAGTTAAATTTGAGTGTTGAATAAATACACATTTCATGGATCTGTGAAATCAACGTAGCATTATTTTCTTCTAATCATTTACATATATGCATATATATGAATGTATATTTTCATGTAATTAAGGTGAATTACAGCCTTTTCTAGGATGCTGTGCTTGAAAAATTATTCAAATATTTTTACCTGAGAACTGTGAATAAATGTAATGTAACATGATGATGGTATTAATAAAATGTTTTATAATGTCAATTCTACTTTAAATAACCCAGCTCCCCGACTTTAATGCTGGCCCCTTGACCCCTCTAGCAATAATATTCATATTACCTGGTGGAATAAGGACTCCAAAGAAAAGCAAAATACAGAAAAAGAGAAGGATCTTCATTGTAAATGATTTCTTGGTATAAAACAGTGTACAGATCATCTGTCTGACTCAGCTGTTGTTGAAACAAGAAAAAAAAACCCTTACATTTAAAGAATTCTTCTGCATAGTTTTGACTACTGAAGCTTATTAAGAGTGAGAACATTTCTATGCTTGGTGCATAGTGCCATATTCAAAGAGATAGTGACTAGAAAAAGCTGCATTGTCACACAAAAGTTACATCTGCTGATTTCTCTTGCAGTCAGTTTCTTTAAGAAACTTTAACAGTTACAAGAATATGGGTATAAATTGCTAAGTGACCAAGATCCGAAATAGTCCTGCAGCAATTCACTTGATACCCCAGGAGTACTAGTTTTATATAATTCCATTCACTATTTTAATGGCCCCAGTATTAACAATGAATCTCAATGTAATAAGAAATCAAAACCACAGAACTTTAGACTGAAATTATCATACAGAATATTTAATTTTACATATAAAAATGTTGAGATCCAGATTTGTCAGGTAATTTTATAATCCATACCTTCTTTACTTAAATTATGTATGAACATAAATCATGACAGTATTCTGGTGTTTATGGATATTATCCTATCGAGCTTAGCTGTACCACAAAGAAAGGTCTGTCCCCTCAAGTAGGATTTGTGAATGTCAGTGCAAAAACATTCAATGTTATAAACCTAGAATGCATTTCTCTGTTTGTTTGTTGTTATTTTCTATGTAGTGAGAAGTTATTTCTGAGTTAATTTGTAAGTTTTCCAAAGTCGACTATAGCAGATATACGATAAAGAGTTGATATTGTTCCCCAGACCCCATAAGGAATAATGACCCATTGAATCTCTCTTACTATACTCATAAAGAGCACTAAGAATCTGGGTGTAAAGAAGCCCCAGTTAATATTAGTCATCCTTATTTTACATTTATGAGAATGTTATTTACAAAGGTGTTGCAACTGAAACATGTACAAATAATCAGAATTGTGGCAAGGCTTCCTGGGCAAAGTGATAAAGAGATATGATCAATAATTTTTCCCTTCTACAACCAAATTCTTCACTGATAAAATATGAATTAAAAGTAAAGGACTTGACTAGATGCAGTGACTCATGCCTGTAGTCTCAGCACTTTTGGGGGCCGAGACAGACAGAGCGCTTGAGCTCCAGAGTTCAAGACCAGTCTGGGCAACACGGTGAAACCCCATCTCTACAAAAATACAAATATTAGCCAGGAGTGGTGACACACGCCTGTAGTCTCAGCTACACTGGGATGCTGTGGTGGGCAGATCTCCTGAGCCCTGGGAGGTCGAGGCTGCAGTGAGCCATGATCATGCCGCTGTACTCCAGCCTGGGTGACAGAGTGAGACACTGTCTCAAAAAAAAAAGCTAAGAATTTATACTAAAAGCTAAGGACTTACTGGGGTTCACTGAATAGAGGATTTAACTATCATTTGACATAGTATAAGATTATTTAAACCCATCCCTATGTAAGATTAATTGAACAGATATTAATCAAACACCTACCATGTGCCTGTTACTTTTCTAGTTGCTGTGGTACAGCTGTGAAAAAGATAGGGCATTTGATTGTTGTAGATGAGACAAAGTTCTAATTGGGCACTGAAACCAAAACCCAAATTTCATTAGAAATAATTTATATATTATTATGCTTTCTTTGTTATCAGAACTTCTGTGAATAAACACAAAGAAAGAAGAGCAAAGAAGATAAATGTCTCATTGATTTTTAATTTTAGCTCTTTCCAAAGACATGACAAGGGTGCAATATTGCTGCCTTACTGCAAGGACTAAAGTCATTTAGAAATTTTATTTTGAATACTTATTTGTTAAATCCAAAGAGTGAAAAATCAAACAGCAACATGACAGTATTACAGGTGATTCACTTAGGGGACTTTGTGACCCAGGTCTAATCCCATGGAGAATGTGGAAACTGCTCCTTTTTTTGAACAGGTAAACATCGATCCTGTATTATAAATGTCCAACATATTAAACACATTCTACAGGATCTACACCACAAAACAGAAATAGAGTATGCCTTTCAACATTTGGTATTTGGACGTAAGAATACATACACTTTAAATTGCTTTTTTTGAATATATTAAGAATTTTAAATCACAAACAATAGAATTATGCAGGAATACTTGGATTCACTGATCTCATGGCCACCTCCTAGTCGCTGTAGATGTTTAGAAAACAAATAAATAAAACATTTTCACTGCCTTAAGAAACTCAAATTATTTTTGAAAAGACATGCAAATAAATATATGACAAATGAATAAAATAAATGCTATGAATGTTTTATGACAATAGTTCTCATGTGTTTTCTGAGTATAGTATTTTTTTTAACTGAAGCACAGATAAATCTCAATACATTTGAAGCTTGCATATTATAAGGTTTCTGGACCAAAATTTTGTTGATTTAATAAGAAACTTTGTCCTGAGGAAACTAAAGCTAACACTAGTATGCTGAAGAAAATATTTTATCCTTCTTTATTTTCCCTTTACAGTCTAATTCTACATTTAGTTACACAATTAGTGAGTGACTTGGGTTCTACAAAATTTAGGTTTAACAAAAACCTCATCACCCTGGATAATAAAGACACACAAATTATACTTACCCTCTGCTGGTCAAGGAATAAGAAGAGTAACTCCCATTGGACCACTGAGGGTGCCTCTGCATGAACAAAATGTCCCCAGTTAAGTTGTTAAGCTGTTTTTTGTTCCTAATAAATTGTTATTTTTCACTGCCTAAGAAAAAAACTTTCAATTTTCCTAAATATTTTAGAGGAAAATTTATAGAGAAGTTGAGTGCATTTATGCTTATGCTCATATTTAAATGTCTTCTTTGTTAACTACATAGCCATTTTGCTTCCTTGTCATTTATCACCTAAATATCGGTAAGATAACTCTGCTTGAAAAGATATATCTAGACAATCATCAAATATCCCTTTTCATTTTTAACCTAATTTTAGTGACCACTGTGAAGAGCATCAGCTCCATAGAATATAAATTCATGAGTCACCAAGTCCTCTTTTCTCTCTGTTTGTTTTGCTCATTCATTGACCGTAACCAGGACCGGAGAGAATTTTAGTAAACCTATGTGTTAATTAAGCCTCAACAAGCAGATAGCAATGACATCCCTGCCATCTGTATAGCTTAATTTTTACGTATATATTAAATATAAATTGGTTGCTGTGTAGGCTCATAATTAAGAGATTGATCAAATCTGTTACCCCATTTTCTAACTTTATGTTAAAGTAATGAATATATAGCACCTTTATCACTGCAAAGGCATTCACTTTTAGAGACTATTTTTTAAAAATAACATTTAATTTTGTTTTTTTTTGTGACGTAAGCTTTTATGTTTTCGTGAGAAATAAAAATAAAACTAAAAATATTCTTTTGGGATAGAGTATTTGAATTCAATAACTATAAAACAGAGAAAAAAAGAAAAAAATTTCACTGTAAATAATTTATTTATCAGGTGTAAAGAACCCTCTGATGATTTTTTTGGTTCAGGTGTTGTTTAAGTAAGGAAACAAAAGAATCCCCTCATTTATAGAATTTCCTTAGTAGTCTTGATGTTGAGTCTATATTGGGATGAATAATGCCAAATTCAAAGAACTGATGGTCAGAAAAGAAAAAAATGCATGGTGAGAAAAGAAAAAAATGCATTGTCACACAAAATATATCATCTATTTTTTATAAATTCAATGAAATCTTCTTGAAGAGAAACTTTACAGTTACAAGGATGTATGTTTAAATTCTTAAAACCTCAGTTTTAAAATTATGCTATAACAATTTGATCCTTGAGATTTTTTTAAATAAATCTCTCAATGCTGAATCTTGATGTGCAGAGATATCTGAGCCATAACAAATTAATTTGAAATATCGTAAAGAATACTAAGGTTTATAGATGAAGACATTGAAACCCAAAGAGGTTAGGTTATATATTATGTATTATTTATAATTTATTAAAAATAGACTCACCAATAGTTATAACTCTGCCTAGCTAACCTTAGACTATTTTGATAAAAGTTCCTAAAGTAGGACTTATCACAATTCAGAAATATTTCACTTTTTTAAAACTAGAATCCATGAATTTGATTTTTTCCCTAAATTACTGTTATTTCTAATTTAGTGTGTAAAATTTGCATAAGCTATTGCATATTTATGTTTATTCCTCAGATGCTGGTTGTGAAAACAGAAATTGATTAGTTCTTTTTCACAACACTTCAAGCGTGCCTGGAAAGTATGGAAAAGTAAGATCTTAACTCATGTTTATATGCAGAGTAAGAAGATTATTAATCACACAATCATAATAATTTTAGAATGTATAAAGATTCCAGGCAGATCCCATCATAACTAGAGTGATTAAGTAATTATCTAGGAATTGCTTCCCTTCTAAATATTTTTTCCCTGTATAATCTGAGATGAAAATTATACTATTATACTACTTAAATTGAGTGCCAGGAGCTTGATTATGACATGTGCCCTTGCTGGGAATAAAGGAATGAGAATTTTCTCATCAGTTGACATGAGGAAGACCATTTCAGCCAGTCTCTAGGTAAAATTAATGTACCTGGGCCTGTTCATGGTTCACAGTAATCAACACAGACAATTGAATTTTGTTATGAATAAGAATGATTATCAATTTGGATCACCAGGCCCGCAGGTAAATTCATTAAAATGTACTTTGCCACCAGAACTCCTATGGACAAGAAGAGTAGAAATGAAAACAAATTCATTGATTTTTTTCTCCTATTCCTTTCAAAGATATAAAAAAAAAATGAGATTATTCATTTACTGAGAGGGCTGCAGCCATTGGAATATTTGCTTCGAACCAACATTTTCCAAACTGGAAAAGGGAAAATGGCAAGCTGCAAGAGAAGAAGTTGTAGGTCTCTAAATCCCCTTATCCCTCTAGTAAACTGAAAACAATTTTGTAATAATTTTGGATCCTATGGAAAACTCATTTTGAGAACTATCATACTAGTGTCTTTTGGGGGGCCTATCCATACCCATCCTACAAGTTCTCTCGACATTTCTCATTTAAAACCTGTTTTCATCAAAGAAACTTGTAAATCTAGCGAAGAATTTTATAAATACCACGGGTTGCTGGGGAGAAATTAGAGATTAAAGGTCATTTCTATTCTAGTAACTTACTACACAGATCAGAGACTATATAGACTCCTTATTTGAGGACATTACTAAGGTCACCTCAGAGACAAAAAAGCATATCTTATTTGCACTTGACCTAGTAGAGAGAAAGGTCATGTTTTCCTGCATAAAGACTCTTGATCCAGATAGCTTTAGCATTTCTTCTCATCTTGACTAAACTTTATAGAAGTTTCTTTTTGACTCTAGGCCCCCAACTTCCTTTTTCTTAGATCATTTTCTTTCAAAATGTATAATTACAAATTTTCTCTCTACCTCTTTGAGATATAAATCTTTTCCCAGGCAATTGTCAGTTTTGCAACCCAAGAACGTCTTTCTCAAGGACATTCTCCAGGAATAGATGATAGCCAGAGTTTGCCGGCCTTTGAAGTCCAACAGCACGAAAAAGTGGAAAAATAAATATGACCCAGATTTTGTGATTTAAATAGAGAAGATAATATTTTTGAGGAAATAGACAATAAAGAATAAGATGTATGTATAAGGTGGTAGCAAGTACAAATTTCAGATGAAATGAAGATACTTGTCACTTCATGTAACTTCACAAAATCTGCAAATGCAGGAAAAGGAACTTTCCTTAGGAAGAGGCTGGGATAGTTATGATGTCATTTGGAGAAAAGAAAAAGATATTGCAATAGTAAGGTAATTCAGAGAAAAGGAAACCAAATGAGAATTAAGTTCAAAGTGAGAGAAACCTTGCCTAGAATTGATGCAGCAGAAAGAGGTATAATTTAAGCAACATTGAATTAATAATGTTTTCTTGTGATCCCCAAACTGGAAACTGCTCACACAGAGTATAAGGTGAAATTTGTAAGGTTGAGGACCCAAGAACATCCTGTAAGATCAAGAACAGATGATGAAATTAATTAAAGATGGTAGTTCTTGCTGAACAGAACCTAACAGTTCAACCCAACAGCGTGTTCTATTTCAATAAGTTGAAATAGAACAATTTATTCTGAAACAGAATAAATTGTTCATTAAAATGCTGCACTCCCTTTGATCCAAATCTATGCTCCACTGATATTCTAAGTAGTGTTAGTCATTAGATTAGTGATAAAATTTTATTACATAATGGAAATGATGAAAGCTTTGTCTTTCCATGAGACAAAAAGGAAAAAAAAAGTCAAAGCAACTAGTTCACAAGGGAACAGATGAAAATAGAAAATGTGAAAATTGACTTGAAAAGGTCATGAAACATTTTCCTACTTACAGATTCCACTATTTATGTAAGGAGTGAAAGGAATTTGGTTCTAGAGTAAGGTAGGGAACATTGTTGAAGGTTTTTGTGTGTAGCTAAGATTTATCTGAGAACCTCCTTTGCTCTCCTCAGTCACCACTGCAACTCCTCTTAGCTCACAGTCACAAACACATGTGGGAGTGAAACTGTTTAGCCCCAGAATGTCAAGGTAGAAGCAGAAGAACCATAGCAAAGATCAATGGTTTTCTCTTTCACTATATCACTATGGCTCGAGAAGTGGTTTCTTCTTCATCCTTGTAAAAAGATGTGCAACAAAGTCCTTTCTCTTTTCACCTAATATAGACTGCTCTCAGGAGTTTAATGAAAAGCCTTGATGACAATTATACTTTTCTTAGTCATATCACATTAAATGTTCACAAATTTACTCAATAATTGTGACCCCCAGAACACAATCTGTTAAAAAATGTAGTAATCTTTTATACATCTCGATGTTCTCATTGAAAAAGGGAAAGTTGGCTAGAAAGAGTTCTAATGTCTCTTCTATGCTCAAAACCTTTCTAAGATTTTTTTTAAAAGCATTTATTGAACACCGATTTGCTCAATATTATACTAGACACTTTTTTTTGGTCTATTTATTTTTCACCATAACATTACTGGATGGTTAATGCTATATTTATTTTAAAGAAGGGATAATTTAGATTCAGATAGGTCATATTACTTGATAGTAAATGTTATAATACAGCAACCAAAACATGTATAATGTCTCAAACATGAAATAAGTTTCTTTATTGCTCACATAATGTCAAAATGGGTACCACTGATCTGTATGAATCTCTCCTTCAAGCATTTATTCAGGGACCCAGGTGTTGTTCCATCTTAGCATTCTGTCATCTTCAACATGTGGTTTTCAATGTCACTGAAGAAAGGCGAAGCAAAACAGAATCTTGCATCAAAGTATTTTATGAACTGGGTCTGAAAATGGTGCACATCATTTCTACCAGGATTTATTTTATTCACCAGTGTGAACTGGCCTCGGTTATATGGCCACTCTTAACTATAAGGTAGGCTGGAAAACGTAGTCTAGTTTCTATACTCTGTGCTCTCAGGAGAAAGAGAAAAAAAATACATCATTAAATAGCTAGCCAGTCTGACGTACAATACCTTTTTTCCATTCAATAAATATCTATTTAAATTTTTGTCTCACATGTAGAACAACCTCCTTCCCTCCTCAAAGGATACAGCTAAAAACGCATTTCAATGAAACAACCATCTAAGAGTCCAGGATCTTTTGGTTTTGTGAAGTTCTTTCTCTCACGTCATGATGTGATGTATTAAAACATGTAATCTTTCAGGAGACATGTATAAGAATAATCATAACAATATTGCTTGTAGTAGCATATCACTGAAAACAAAAGTTCACAGACGAGGATGAATAAGTCATAGTCATTCAAATAATGATAAATTCATGATGAGAATGAATTAACTCCAGCTACATCCAAAAATATAGATGAATCAGAGAAAGATAATGCCTGTGACTATATATAATTTTAGAACTTTTTTGTAACAATATGAATACAGTATTATTTTCTCAGAAACTGGTATTACTTCTCTCTAGAAGAAACATCCTGTCTTAACTGATTACCTTCTCTGAAAAGTCCATTCTGAGTATAAACAGATTCTCTGAGCACAAATATGAATCGAGGTATCTTCATAAGAAAGACGAAAAAATGTATTGCTCCCAGGAGCTGAGATATAAACAGCTAGAATATGAGTAGCAGTCTACATGTGCCACAGTGCGAAACTACCCTATGACCACTAAGTATTAATTAAATTTACTATGTGTAAATAGTATTTAAATGCAAGTAGAAAATTTTGAGTAACCAGAGCAGGGAGTGAATTTTAAACCTCAGTTAAATGCAGAGATGTAGATGGGTGAGTACAAAGATAAAAAGAAGAATGGGATGCCAGTTGTAGAAGGGTTCTTGACTCTCACAAGACTATGGAGGCAGAGTTCAGCCTGATTTTCATCACATCATGGCTGGACAAGTAAATTCTGTAGAACTTGTGGGGCATGCTGATTGACACTTGAACACAGAGTATTTCGGAGGCAGTAGAGTAATTATTTAGAGGAATATTCGAGGATGATATTCACCATATTTTACATGGATGGCACAGCCAGGCAGTGACCAGGCAGAATGAATTCTATCTCTGATGCTGAAGGAGGGTACTGGCGGTTCCCGATATGCCAAATATTACCCCTTTTGTTACTAGTTCCTAGGAAAGTCTGGACATTTCAGGAGAAGGATGATAATCCCGTGGTGACAGTGAGTGTATTTGGAGAATTAGCACAGTGGTTATTTACCAACAACAATAAAAGGGTTTCAATATTTTAACAACTAAAATGGTTATATCTATGTGTACCAGTGGCATATAACCTCTAGGCATTTTGATAATAAAAGAAGTTACAAGTGAGAAGCTGAAAATAAAGAAGGGAAGAAAATAACTTTCATTCTGTTCCCTTAACAGTAACTCATATTCTCCTTGCTTGCAATTTACCATTGTAACTCCTGTGAATAAGTACAGGGTTTTCCACCTAAGGAAGGGGGAAATATGATATACAGAAGTATCTCATCCTGCCAAGAAGAGAGAGAAATCCAGTTCCTGCTAGTTTCCCCACAAAATGTGGAAAAGCGACAAAAGGGGCAGTAGAAGAGAGATGCCTGTATCACAGACTTCCCTCCAGTCTCCAACATGATCAGAGAGAACATGGGCGAGATGGATTGATAAGATAGATGATCAACAGCTTGGAAATTTTACCCCCACTTCAATACTTAAGGAAGATATCCCACTCAGGATATCTTTATACCAACCTGGGGTCAATCATAAACAAAGGAAAAAAAAACTGCCACATAGGCTAGTTAGGCAATGGGGAAGTAGACACAGCTTTCCCAGCCACTGCAGCTGCCATGCCAGTCTCAGCTGGGATGAGACCCAGAATTTTTCATATGCACTTGGGAATGTGGAGAGGGACATAGATGTTAGCTAATAGTCTGAATGTGATGCTGCCAGAAAAATGTGACCCTTATAGGAACAAATTGATCCTGAATTCACAGTCTGTCAGTGCCTGAGGTTAAAGAGATTTGCAGTTATATTTCCAAAGGTCTATAGTGCCAAGGAGACCTGAGATTGGTCCTAGGAAGTGGGAAGAACCACTCAGCTCCAAATGAGAAAAATAAACCACTAATATAATAGTCATAAAATTAAGACGCAAAGTCCAAAAGGGAAAATAGACCAGGTAGGTGCAGAACATCACTATGGAGACCAGAGGGACAAGAAGATGGTACTGTGAATCCCAGGGCCACTCCTTTTCTAGCATGTGGTCACATGAGCCCTCTTTCTCCATAAAGACAGATACAATCTTTGTGTTGAGCAGAAGAAAGGAGTACCACTCTGAAAGACTAAGCATTTTCCTACTGAGATATTCTAACTTACTATCTAGGGCTGAGTTATCCAAAAGGATTGGTAGAGAATGGAGCTCCCCATTATTCAGTAGAATGATATTTTTAACATATGCTATATGAAATATAAAGAAAATATATTTGTACACCTTAGTGCAATGTGAGCAAATGTGTGACTTTACAAGACAATAACAAAGGCATATCAGTGAACTGTCAAAGCTCAGAAATTTGTAAACCTTCTGAAAAGTGCCTTGTTATCAAAAACAGCCTAAAAATCTTTAAGCTTCCACATGTTAAA